>NC_000014.9:39308682-39611713 GCF_000001405.40 Homo sapiens | reverse complement strand
AATGGGTATAATGCCTAGTTATCCTGGCTTTAGCTACTTTCCTTACCAAAGGAAGACTCTGTCTGATTGTTTCAGCACTATGAGATGTGAATGAGAACCTCTACAGAGTCCAGTGTCACCTTCATTCAGCTAATCAGAAATCGTATGCTAGAAGACACTCTCAAACTTGAATCTTTTTTTTTTTTTTTTGAGACTAAGTTTCACCCCTGTTGCCCAGGCTGGAGTGCAATGGCGTGATCTCAGATCACCGCAACCTCTGCCTCCTGGGTTCAAGTGAGTCTCCTGCCTCAGCCTCCCAAGTAGCTGGGATTACAGGCATGTGTGCGCCACCACGCCCGGCTAATTTTGTATTTTTAGTAGAGACGAGGTTTCTCCACGTTGGTCAGGCTGGTCTCAAACTCCCGACCTCAGGTGATCCACCCGCCTTGGCCTCCCAAAGTGCTGGGATTACAGGCATGAGCCACCGCATCTGGCCTCTCAAACTTGAATCTTACAAATACCAGAGGAAAACTTTAGTTGAGAGCCTTTTTCCTTCTCTTCCTGTTCAACAGATGATATCACAATGTGAGTATATCAGATTCTGCTGAAATTCTCCCAGGTTGTAGCATTTGCTTTTCAATGTCATATAGCCTTCACAGAGTTGACCTCCAGGAAAAATCTCTAAGGAGTATCTCAATATGTCCAATAAGTTTCTTATATACCCTCTTTACCTAATCAATTATAAAGAGGCTGTATAGGTCTCTCAATGGCATAATCATACTCCAAAGAATCCAGCCTATCACCTACTGAATCAAGCCCCACCACCAGAAGAAGGAAGTTCCCTATCCTCTCACAGGGTTTCAACAATCTGCATTAATACCATTAGAGTAACAATTTTCACATATTTGCCTTTCCTCTTCAGAGTACCTGGCACAAAGTAGCCAGTCAGTATGTATGTGGTATAAATTGAATGAATCTTGAACTTCCATTATATAATACTATAAGTGCATTTATAACCCATTCCCAGCTACTCACACCCCTAACAGTTCCCCAGATTTACATACTCATGTTCTTTCCCATATGCACTCTTTTATATGGTGGCTTGCTTGTTGTTAGAGGCATTTAACCACCTGTAAGCTGTAAGAGAGAAGGCTAGGCTATTTGCTCCCCAGAAAACAAGACCAAAGTATGTGGTTTAGACTGAGCTGACCCTAGGGTTAAATCTGAAGATGACCCTGACACCTAGAGATACAGATTCTTTATTTGTCAAAATGGTACGGCCTTCAAGTAAGTTAAGGTGCTAGACTTGTCTCCAAAACTCAACAAACATAGTAATTTTGGTGACATCCTAGATTTCTGACTTTTGGTAATGCTTAGTAACAAAATGTAATACTCATCAATCATTATAAGCATACTTTAGGTAGCTTTTTATATAAGTGTCTTCTGTTTGGTTGAGTGCTTTTTTAAGTACATTCTATATCTTCTGAGAACTTGACTTCTACATGTACTACATTTTCTGAGAGCTTGATTTCTATGTACTCTGTATATTCTCTGAGAACTTGTCATACATTTTGAGTACATTACTTAAGAGATAATTTACAATCTGTTTGTTTTAGTCAGCTTGGATTAAAGTAACAAATTTCCATACACTTGGTGGCTTAAACAACATACATTTATTTCTCACTGTTCTAGAGGCTGGGAAGTCTAAAGCCCGCATGTCAGCAGGCTCAGGTCTGGTGGGGGCCCTCTTCTTGGTTTGCAGACAGATACCTTCTTGAAGAGAACTCACATAGTGGAAAGCACAGACAGAGCAAACTCTCTCATGTCTCTTTTAAGCGCACTAATTCCATTGATGATGGCTCCAGCCTTATGGTCTAATTACTCCCAGAGGCCCCACTCCTTTTACCATGGGAGTCAGGATTTCAACGTATAAATGAGGGGGCATGAACATTCAGTAAACAGTAAGTTTATACCAATTTAGTGAAAATCCAAAGAGAAAAAAGATCAAAGTGCAGAATATTAGAAACACAAGAAAGAGCCTGTAGTGGAAAACCCAGAATTCATTCTAGTTGAACACAAAGAAACTTAATGCCCATTACAGATAGAAAGCAGGGAAGTGGCTAATGAATGTGGTTGTGCTTACTTACGATAGACTTCACACTCCCTAATGAACAATTATCTCTTCTAGCTTGTGCTAGACAAGAGCCCCCTTTGCTTTTCAGTTTAACTCCTCCACAGAAGAGTGCATTTGTTTTTCTGCCCTTCATATTTTAAGCCAACTGGATATTAAAGCATTTTAATGCTTACTCTGAAATCAGGCACATTAATGTTGCAACAAAACATCTGGGCATTGACTGTTGTCCTCAAAGTTTGTTGTAACTCTCTTCTTCTTTATGCTGTATGCACTACTTGCTAATGAGTATGTTAAAGACTTCCCTTCTTACAAAATGACATTCTAAGATTATACATACTGACCCAGTGAAACAGATATGATACTAACTGCAAACCTCAAATCTTCATTAAGGAAGGAAAAAAGAAGAAAGATAAAATAGGATATGTAGTTTTAGTTATTTTCAAAAAGGGAAAAATATTTGAAGGAAATATGTGCAATTTTAATACCTATTAAATACAGTTGGGAATAGGTGGTTACCTACTACATTATTTTACATTCTGTTCTGATATTTGGAATAGTTCATAATTTAAGATAGAAAAAAATTAACCATTTTCAGCTAGACAAGCCAAATTGCAACAGTAATAAGATTTAGAATTCCCCACACTCTAAGTTTCCACTGTCCTTGTTTCGCCAATCCTTATCCCTGATTAAACTTTACTTCTTTTTCTTATCCTGCTTCCAGACTGTCCAGCATTGTTGCACAAAGTCTTAAAACTGTGAGTCGGTTCCATTACAAATTCATCCCAACCAGTCTAAGATAGAGGCTCACTGTTACTTAGCAATTTTTCCCTCCAATTTGATCAACTAGTATCATATTAACCACTTGGTCTATCCCAAACTCTTTCCACTTTTCTCAGACCTCAATACCCTTATCTTATTTCCCAAAAAATTCTTTTAAAAATATGTCGACCTTTCCTAAGCTTTTTAGCTGCAAGGGGACTTTTTGAAGGAAGTAGCTTCCAGATATTTGCACTCCCATGTTTCTTGCAGCACTATTCACAACAGCCAAGATTTGGAAGCAACCTACGTGTCCATCAACAGATAAATGGATAAAGAAAATGTGGTACATATGCATAATAGAGTACTATTCAGCCGTGAAAAAGAATGAGATCCTGTCATCTGCAACACATGTATGGAACTGGAGGTCATTATGTTAAGTGAAATAAGGCAGGCACAGAAAGATAAACTTCACATGTTCTCACTTATTTGTGGGAGCTAAAAACTCAGATAGCTGAACACATGGAGATAGAGAATAAAAGAATGGTTACCAGAGGCTGGGAAGGGTAGTGGGGGGGGGAGGGGAAAGTGGGGATGGTTAATGGTAAAAAAAATTGTTATAAAGAATGAATAAGACCTAGTATTTGATAGCACAACAGGGTGACTATAGTCAAAAATAATTTAATTGTGCATTTTAAAATAACTAAAAGAGTTTATTGGATTGTTTGTAACACAAAGGATAAATGCTTGAGATGGTAGAGACCTTATTTACCTTGATGTGATTGATATGCGTTGCATGCCTGTATCAAAATATCTCATGTAATCCATAAATATAGACACCTACTATGAAACCACAAAAACTGTTTAAAAAAAAAAGCTTAAAAAAAAACAAAGTAAATAGCTTCAGCTCATACTTCCTGTTACAGTCAGACTTTTCTAAGAACTTCAGATGTGGTACCATATTTTGATATCTTTCTCATAAAATTAACAAGATTTAGGCCATGGTTCAGTATTGTCTTATGATAGTATATCAAGCATTTGGTCAACGACTCCTAAGGTGGCCCCTAAAGATTGCCCACTTCCTAGTATTCACACCTTTGTAATACCCTCCCCTTCAGTGTAGGAGAGACCTGTGACTGGCTTCTAACACATAGAACATGGCAAAGGTGATGGGCAATCACTCCCATGCTTATATTACATCATATGTATATTCAGAATTGAATCAGTAAACATGATGAAGCACTTACTACATGCCAGTGCTGTGTAAGCACTTTGCATATATTGTCTCATTTTGTTATTTAATCATTACTACAACCTATGAGGTAGGTACCATTATGATCTCACTTCAGAGATGAGAAAATTGAAATATATCTGGCCGAGCATGGTGGCTCATGCTCTAATCCCAGCACTTTGGGAGGCCGAGGCAGGCGGATCACAAGGTCAGGAGATCGAGACCATCCTGGCTAACATGGTGAAACCCTGTCTCTACTGAAAAAAAAAAAAATAGAAAAAATTAGCCGGGCATGGTGGCAGGCACCTGTGGTCCCAGCTACTCGGGAGGCTGAGGCAGGAGAATGGCATGAACCCAGGAGGTGGAGCTTGCAGTGAGTGAGATGGCACCCTGCACTCCAGCCTGGGCAACAGAGCAGACTCTGTCTCTCAAAAAAAAAAAAAAAAAGAAAAGAAAAGAAAATTGAAATATATCAAGGTCAAGTGATTTGTCCAAGACCACAGAGCAAGTAAAGATGGTGCTAGAACTATGCTTCAGCCTATCTCATCCCAAAGCCTTAGTTCTTAACCATTCATTACTACAGTGAGGAGAATGCAGGTCAGGACAGAGAGCACTGCATGGGGAAGGTGAGCAAGGACCACAAGGACAGAGATTGATAGGACAATGGAGAGGCAGACACGGGGCAGCAACAACCACCCATTGCAGGGATAAGAAGAAAACAGGGAACAATATTTTGAAAATCAAAATAAGTTAAACATTTTTTACAGTATTAATGAAAAAACCAAATGATCTTTAAGCAAGGAAGTTTTATCCCTGGGCAAAAGACCATAGCAAAAATAGCATGTAACACAAAGAAGAGGATCACAGAAGAGGATCAAATTTAGCTGACACAGAATGGTCAGCTAAATTTGTCCAATATTAGAAAATTCAAAACAGACCAGAACAAAAACAATTTTTCTGGCTAAAAGTTTTCACCAAGAAACTCAAAATGTATATCAAACACCAATGTCCAGTTTTATACTTTGTGGTATTAAACTATATGAATAAAGTTGTTCTCCTTCCAAATTGGGGATTCAGACATTGTCCACAAATTCTTTTGTTGCTTAATAAAGCACTGAATTACAGAACTCTTCAATACTGTTATAGATAGACAAGCGGATTGAATAGAGCCTCAAGATTCTTACAAAAAACACTCTGGTGATCAGAGTGGGTGAAATACTTTACTCAAGTCTATTTTAACAAAGTGTATTTCTGTCCGGGTGAGTACACTTTATAAGACAAGGTATGATCCAAGCAGAAGAACCAGAGTCAGCTATCACTAATTCACTGGAAAACACAATAAGCCCAGGTGGTGTCCATCCAGACACCCACACACAGCACCCTTTGTCTCTTGCCCATCCCTCATCAAATTAAAATGTCCAAGAACACCTTCCTTAGCTACCTCACCAATGCCACTGGATTCATATCCCTCAAAATGTGGTACATGTATATTCTTAGCGTGCCCATCCTGAAAGCAATGCAAGAGCTTCAACCTTCTCAGGACATCCAGTTACAACTATGTTTTTCTTTCACAATAGACAAACATTGCTGAGGCTTTTAAGTACTTCCAGTGGCATTGGATCCATCATCAAAAGAATGCTTACCAGCCTGTCAAGCACTTATTGATTTCTGAGTCTATGTAGCAGATGATGAAGAACTCTTCTTCCCACTGGCACTTTGCTTTATTGTGTTGGAACATTGCGCAGCTACTTAATGCCAGATGGGCAGGTGCATATAACAGTTCAGGATACCCAATTTGTCCCCTGCGTGTGAAATGGCTGGTCAATACAAAACATGTCTCAGAAATGTGATGGCAGAAGCTGCAAAATGCCTTTAAGATATCCTAAGCAGAGGCATGGCAGATAAAATCATATCATATTTCAATAGAATCTTTATGAGCCTCCTGTTTGTTTCCTGCCTGCTTCTGTCTGAGATCACTTGCTGCTCATTTTGGCCCCCAACCTGGTTTTGAGTCCAAGATCTATTTCCACTCTACCACTGTTTTTTCTTTTTTTCCTTTTTTTTTTTTTTTGAGACAAAGTCTCACTCTGTTGCCCAGGCTGGAGTGCAGTGGCACAATCTCGGCTCACTGCAACTTCCGCTTCCGTGGTTCAAGTGATTCTCCCACCTCAGCTTCCCAAGTAGCTGGGATTACAAGCATGTACCATCATACCTGGCTAATTTTTGTATTTTTAGTAGACACAGGTTTTCACCATGTTGGCCAGGTTGGACTTGAACACCTGGCCTAAAGTGATCCGCCCGCCTCAGCCTCCCAAAGTGCCATTTCATTTTTAATTCCTAACTTAGCTGTTACCCTTATAACCTGGAAAATATTAGGTCTCAAACTCAGCTCTTCCAATAATGTTCTACTGAAACTGTACAAGTCTGAGGTCAATGAGTATGTCTTTATGCCGAATACAATACAAAACATTCTGTAGATCTTAATATACATGTTTGCACAATTGACACTAAGGACAACTCCTTCAAACCCTCTCAGTTTCCATTAATTGCATTGCTCTTCTCTGTTTTTTCTCCTACCTCTTACTCTTCCTGTTTATCTGTCTTTCATGTGTTCCTCTCGTTACCAATTAAATATCTTCCCATGTAATTGGTTCTAGTCTTCCCAAAGCTCCAACCTCATCCTCTGCCCTTTCACATTATGCAGCACCCCTGCAGTTTGGCATCCACACCCACAGCATCAGCTCATAGGCTAACTCCATAATCTATATCTCTTGCTCAAAACATTCAACTGAGTTGCCTAATAGACATTTCTACTTGGATAACCAATGCAAACCTCTACAACCACATGTCACAGTTGGTAACGTCTACCTTTTACCAGAAACCAGATCTTCTGCACCTCCAGTGAATGAACCAACTAAAGATGCAGATATCCAAACCAAATATATGAGAGTTTATCCGTGTCTGTCACTTACTCCATCAAATCAGGCTCCAGGTCCCAAACTGTCTACCTTTTCAATGACTCCTGAATTTGTCCCTTTCTCTCAATTTTTCAGCTACCTTAGTTTAGACTTTCATCCACGTCATTCTCATATTTCAGCAGTGGCCTCCAACAGATTTCTTGGCCTTTCTCAAATACACTTTCCATTCCTGTACCAGAATAAACTTCGCAAAATACAGAGTTTATCAAGTTAATCCATTGCATAAAATGCTACAATGGCTTTCTAAAGATTTCAAGAAGTAATTGAAAGTCCTCATGTAAACCCAAAACTCAAAATTATCTATCTTCTGCCTATTTATCTAATCTTATCTCCTAGAATTCTCCAAATATGCTCCTCTTTCCAGCTATATAGACTACTTGTAAATCTTTTCATGTGTCTTTAACCCTCACATAGAATACCCACCCCTTCTCATCCCACAACCCCCACCCCTTGGCTAGCTACTTCCTATGTACCTTCACAACTCTGCTCAGATGTCACCACTTCCAGGAAGCCTTTCTAATTTACCCCTCCCTAACCTGGTCTGATTTAGTTCCCTATTCTGTGCTCCTCTGTCAGAGCATGTATGATTTTACCCCCATGTACTATGAGATGCCTAAAAACGGGAGCATATTCATCAATCCATTACTAGCATTTGACATAATGTCTGGCAGGGAGCAGGAATTTAATAATTTTTTTTAAACAAATGGAAGGAGGAGGAGAGAAAGGGAGTGAGGGTAAAGAGGTTTGCAAAACCTATCTTAGAAACTGAATTTCAGTTTGATTAATGGAAGACAAATGTAGCTGGAGAGTTAATGGCCTAACAACTGTGCTCCACCTGAATTAAGTAAATTCTGGAACTGTTGGACATCAATTAATAAAATGAAACCTAACCTTGGGAAAATCAATCTGCCCCCTTCAAGAACTAGTTGATAAAATGGCCCCAAGATAGCACAAATCCTATTCACTCAATATCTCATAAGGAGATTGTTAAGGATAAGAAAATTAAGCAACCTAAGGGGCCTGAGGAATGATCATGAACTTTAAATAAAAGAAGTACTTATAATGGAATTTCCTGGAATCATTTGATCCAAATCAGTTCTGAAGTTAAAGTTTTTTTATTCTTTCCTAGTACCAGAGATGGTCACTCTCAATTCATCACAGTAACTATTATGAGCTACCTTTACAGGAGTATTTGTATAAATGGGTAGGTCTTTGTGTCTATGAGTCTATTTTTATTAGAGTGTGTCTACTTATTAATGATAGAGTTCTTCAAGATCTGTAATTAATGGATGTGTTGAAAATGAGATAATGTTCCATTTGGTACTTTGCCCTAAACTTCCCCATCAAGAATTTGCATGTAGAAAATAATATCAGCCTTTTATTTCATTCCCAATTTCAAAACTAATTGAATGCCCTGAATTCCTTGCCATTAACTTAATACAACTAAAAATGAACTCTTTTCCCTCTTCTTTAAATAGGCATCACCAAATGATTCCTTTAGCTCTATTATGTTCTCAACCTTCTTATAATCCCCCAGCCTCCAAACTCTGAAATTATCTTTAAGCTCTCCTTCTCTAACACTGCTCCCAAAACATAGTAATACATTCAATCAACTGCCCAGCCCTGTAGAATATAATTCTAAAATTCGTCTTAAATTTGCCTCTAACTCTTTATTTTCATCGATGCTATTCTAATTCAGGTCTTTGTTTCTAATCTATGCTATATTATTTTCTAATCTGTACTATATTTCTAATCTATACTAGTTTCTAATAGTATAATCTATACTATTTCCTAATTTTACACTATTGCAATAGCCTTCCAACTTTTACCTTCAGTCCTTTTCCACTTCATGCAACAGTACACATTGCTGCCAAAATAATCTTAAAAAAAGAAAATCTGTGCTTACAAAACACAGTTCTGATTATGTCACTCCATGGCACTGTAAGAATATCAAATGGGCCAGGCGCGGTGGCTCACGCCTGTAATCCCAGCACTTTGGGAGGCCGAGGCGGCCGGATCTCGAGGTCAGGAGATCGAGACCATCCTGGCTAACACGGTGAAACCCCATCTCTACTAAAAATACAAAAAATTAGCCGGGCGTGGTGGCGGGCGCCTATGGGCCCAGCTATTCGGGAGGCTGAGGCAGGAGAATGGCGTGAACCGCGGAGGCGGAGCTTGCATTGAGCCGAGATAGCACCATGCACTCCAGCCTGGGCGACAGAGCGAGACTCTGTCTCAAAAAATAAATAAATAAATAAATAAATAAATAAATAAATAAATAAATAAATAGAATATCAAATGAAGATAAGATGTCACAACTGAAAATATTTTTGGGACTCACAATTGCTTACTTAATAAAACCCAGTGACTTGTCATGGCATTCAGAGAATTATAGGATCATAAAGTTGTTGAAAAGGAACTTAAATATCATCTTGTACAAGACCCCCAAAGCTCTGTCTCCAACGATCCTTCCCTGTCTTATCTTTTTCACTATCTTAACAAGTCTTATACTCCCGTCAAATTAAACTAGTTATCATATCCTTGACATTTCTGCCGCCATGACTATTGCCAAAATCTTTCCTCTGCCTGGAGTTCTTTCCCTTGAAATCTATCGGTCAAAACATACTCATTTTTCCAAGTTCTAGGTCAAATGTCCCCTTTTTCATGAACATTTCCCCGATCCTTGCAAATTAAAAACCATCTCTCTCCAAACTTTTACAACTCTGCTTTAATCCTTTCTTAAGGCATTAATAGAATATTCCACCTAACATTATAAATAGTATTAATATCTCCCATCATTGCACTTGGTTACAAACTCTCAAAGGATAGACACTTTGGCTCTCAAAGGATAGACACTCTGATAACAGTTTCTTTTGCTGTGCAGAAGCTCTTTAGTTTAATTAGATCCCATTTGTCAATTTTGGCTTTTGTTGCCATTGCTTTTGGTGTTTTAATCATGAAGTCTTTGCCCATGCCTATGTCCTGAATGGTATTACCTAGGTTTTCTTCTAGGGTTCTTATGGTTTTGGGTCTTACATTTAAGTCTTTAATCTATCTTGAGTTAATTTTTTATAAGGTGTAAGGAAGGGATCCAGTTTGTGCTTTCTGCATACGGCTAGCCAGTTTTCCCAACACAATTTATTAAATAGGAATCCTTTCCCCATTGCTTGTTTTTGTCAGGTTTGTCAAAGATCAGATGGTTGTAGATGTGTGGTGTTATTTCTGAGGCCCCTGTTCTGTTCCATTGGTCTATATGTCTGTTTTGGTACCAGTACCATGCTGTTTTGGTTACTTGTAGTATAGTTTGAAGTCAGGTAGCGTGATGCTTCCAGCTTTCTTCTTTTGCTAAGGACTGTCTTCACTATGCAGGCTCTTTTTTGGTTCCATATGAAATTTAAAGTAGTTTTTTCTAATTCTATGAAGAAACTCAATGGTAGTTTGATGGGGATAGCAGGATAGCATTGAATCTATAAATTACTTTGGGGAGTATGGCTATTTTCATGATATTGATTCTTTGTATCTGTAAGCATGGAATGTTTTTCCATTTGTTTGTGTCCTCTCTTATTTCCTTGAGCAGTGGTTTGTAGTTCTCCTTGAAGAGGTCCTTCATATCCCTTGTAAGTTATATTCCTAGGTATTTTACTCTCTTTGTAGCAATTGTGAATGGGAGTTCATTCATGATTTGGCTCTCTGTCTATTATTGGTGTATAAGAATGCTTGTGATTTTTGCACATTGATTTTGTATCCTGAGATTTTGCTGAAGTTGCTTAAGGAGATTTCGGGCTGAGACGATGGGGTTTTCTTTTTTTTTTTTTTTTTTCTTTTTTTTTTTTCTTTTTTGAGACGGAGTTTCGCTTTGTTGCCCAGACTGGAGTGCAGTGATGTGATCTCGGCTCACTACAAGCTCCGCCTCCCGGGTTCACGCCATTCTCCTGCCTCAGCCTCTCCGAGTAGCTGGGACTACAGGTGCCCGCCACCACGCCTGGCTAATTTTTTGTATTTTTAGTAGAGATGGGGTCTCACTGTAGTCTCCATCCCCTGACCTCGTGATCCGCCCGCCTCGGCCTCCCAAAGTTCTGGGATTACAAGCGTGAGCCACCGCGCCCGGCCAGGGTTTTCTATATATAAAATCATGTCATCTGCAAACAGAGACAATTTCACTTCCTCTTTTCCTAATTGGATACCCTTTATTTCTTTCTCTTGCCTGATTGTCCTGGCCAGAACTTCCAATACTACATTGAATAGGAGTGGTGAGAGAGGGCATCCTTGTCTTGTGCCAGATTTCAAAGGTAATGCTTCCAGTTTTTGCCCTTTCAGTATGATATTGGCTGTGGGTTTGTCATAAATAGCTCTTATTACTTTGACATATGTTCCATCAATACATAGTTTATTGAGACTTTTTAGCATGATGGGCTGTTGAATTTTGTCCAAGGCCTTTTCTGCATCTATTGAGATAATCGGTTTTTGTCATTGGTTCTGTATATGTGATAAATTACATTTATTGATTCACATATGTTGAACCACTGTTGCATCACAGGGATGAAGCTGACTTGATCATGGTGGACAAACTTTTTGATGTGCTGCTGTATTTGGTTTGCCAGTATTTTACTGAGGATTTTTGCATTGATGTTCATCAGGGATATTGGCCTGAAACTTTCTTTTTTTGTTATGTCTCTTCCAGATTTTGGTATCAGGATGAGCTGGCCTCATAAAATGAGCTACGGAGGATTCCCTCTCTTTCTATTGTTTGGAATAGTTTCAGAAGGAATGGTACCAGCTCCCCTTTGTACCTCTGGTAGAATTTGGCTGTGAATCCGACTGGTTCTGGACTCTTTTAGGTTGGGAGGCTATTAATTACTGTCTCAATTTCAGAACTACTTATTGGTCTATTCAAGGATTCGACTTATTCCTGGTTTAGTCTTGGGAGGGTGTATGTATCCAGGAATTTATCCATTTCTTCTAGATTTTCTAGTTTATTTGCGTAGAGGTTTTTATAGTATTCTCTGATGGTAGTTTGTATTTCTGTGGGATAGGTGGTGATATCCCCTTTATCATTTTTTATTGTGTCTGTGTGATTCTTTTCTCTTTTCTTCTTTATTAGTCTGGCTAGCAGTCTATCAATTTTGTTATCTTTTCAAAAAACCAGCTCCTGGATTCATTGATTTTTTGAAGGGTTTTTCATGTCTCTATCTCCTTCAGTTCTGCTCTGATCTTGGTTATTTCTTGCCTTCTGCTAGCTTTTGAATGTGTTTGCTCTTGCTTCTCTAGTTCTTTTAATTGTGATGTTAGGGTGTCAAAATTAGATCTCTCCTGCTTCCTCTTGTGGCATTTAGTCCTATAAATTTCCCTCAAAATGCTGCTTTAGCTGTGTCCCAGAGATTCGGGTACATTGTGTCTTTGTTCTCATTGGTTTCAAAGAACATCTTTATTTCTGCCTGAATTTCATTATTCACCCAGTAGTCATTTAGGAGCAGATTGTTCAGTTTCCATGTAGTTGTGCAGTTTTGAGTGAGTTTCTTAATACTGAGTTCTAATTTGATTGCACTGTGGTCTGAGAGACTGTTATTATTTCCATTGTTTTGCATTTGCTGAGGAGTGTTTTACAATTATGTGATCAGTTTTAGAATAAGTGCTATGTTGTGCTGACAAGAATGTATACTCTGTTTGTTTTTTTAAAGAAAGATAAAAATTATGATATTTTAATGGAGATTTTACATTATAACTGCCAACCACTAGCATTATTTGGGGAAGAATAATTTTGAACTCCAGATCTACATCAAGTAGCAACCCAACAGTGTCAGATTATTAAATGACTTTATTTAATAAATGATTATAAATCTATGACCAAGAGGCACTATCCCAGATGCTATAGAAATATACAACTCTATTCATTAAGACAAAAGTAGTCTAATAAAATAAAACCAAATCTTAAATAACTGTAACACCAGAGTGCCATATGAGGAAAAACCTGCTGCAGATATTTAAATCACTGCAAAACTTGGGGGGAAATTTCTATGGAGGAGGCAGAGCAAATGGACCTTGAAATCATTTAGGTTGGCTTGGATCCTGGATGACTTCTTTTAAGTAGTGTAGCCTTGGGCAAAACCTTTAATTACTCTAAGTCTCAAATTTCTCATCTGTAAAATGGGAATAATACCTTCATTTGACTCAAATGTAGGTATTATTCCTCAAACATAGTAAGTCCTCAAAAAATAATACCTCTTCACCACTATTTCTTACTGTTTTAAAAATAAATCATAGATTAACCATGTCTTTGGGTTAACTTTAGTCCAAAGTGTCAAACGTGGAATGATTTGAATCCTTTCACCACACTTCAAATGACAAATTGCACTTCAAAATGACATTCCTAGGTGAAGGTAAATGAAATCAGTGGTAATTAACAGCCACAGTTCTGCGCTCTAAGGCAGCCAGGGATAAATCACCAAAAAGCCTGCAAATCTCTTTTTGTAGATGATGATTTCAGTTTGGGGTAGTAAAATCATGTGCCATTAATCTAGTCTATCAGAGTCACCTGAGTCACTTCTCCAGTTTCTCAGGATGATTAATAATTGAGGCCATATCTCACAGTTATAAATATGCTTAAGCCCTAAAATGTTCCCAATAAATTTACCATCTTTTCTAATGGATGTTTTACTGTCAGAACACTGTTTCTTATTCATGTTATAAAGGCATTGAGCAGTAAGGATTTAAACAAGTCCAGTTAAGAGCACCAAAAGAGTTGTTTCATAAGGCTTCCACATGTGATTATAAGGAAAGTCCATTTTCAATAAGTATAAATCCTCCTGCGCCCAAGTTCCCAATTCCTCTGACCCCTTTGGGGCAAAAATATCTCCAAACAAAGGATTACAAACCCAAAGTGACATCAGGTGTAATTACAAAATCAACTGCCTTTTCTAAGACCATTATTTCTATAAATCCCATTGCCTGGAGATCTATGATGACCCTAACCAAGCTGGATGATTCTGGGTTAGGGTCTAGGAGCCATTAGAATCCACTACTCCTTTGAAAGGTGACAGGAAATCTAGATTCGAGATTTTATTTTATTTTTTTTTATACTTTAAGTTCCAGGATACAAGTGCTGAACTTGCAGGTTTGCTACATAGGTATACATGTGCCATGGTGGTTTCCTGCACACATCAACCTGTCATCTACATTACGTATTTCTTCTAATGCTATCCCTCCCTCCACCCCCCACCCACTACCCCCCAACAAGACCCGGTGTGTGATGTTCCCCTCCCTGTGTCCATGTGTTCTCATTGTTGAACTCCCACTTATGAGTGAGAATATGCAGTGTTTGGTTTTCTGTTCCTGTGTTAGTTTCCTGAGAATGATGTTTTCCAGCTTCATCCATGTCCCTGCAAAGGACATGAACTCATCCTTTTTTATGGCTGCATAAAATTCTATGGTGTATATGTGCCACATTTTCTTAACCCAGCCTATCATTGATGGGCATTTGGGTTGGTTCCAAGTCTTTGTTATTGTGAATAGTGCTGCACTAAGCATATGTGTTCATGTGTCTTTATATTAGAATGATTTATAATCATTTGGGTATATATACAGTAATGGGATGGCTGGGTAAAATGGTATTTCTGGTTCTAGATCCTTGAGGAATCACCACACTCTCTTCCACAATGGTTGAACTAATTTATACTCCCACCAACAGTGTAAAAGCTGTTTCTCCACATCCTCTCCAGCATCTGTTGTTTCCTGAGTTTTTAATAATCACCATTCTAACTGGCAAAAGATGGTATCTCATTGTGGTTTTGATTTGCATTTTTCTAATGACCAGTGATGATGAGCTTTTTTTCCTATGTTTGTTGGCTGCATAAATGTCTTCTTTTGAGAGGTGTCTGTTCATATCCTTTGCCCACTTTTTGATGGGGTTTTTTTTCATGTAAATTTGTTTAAGTTCTTTGAAGATTCTGGATATTAGCCCTTTGTCAGATGGATAGATTGCAAAAACTTTCTCCCATTCTGTAGGTGGCCTGTTCATTCTGATTATAGTTTCTTTTGCTGTGCAGAAGCTCTTTAGTTTAATTAAATCCCATTTGTCAATTTTGGCTTTTGTTGCCATTGCTTTTGGTGTTTTAATCATGAAGTCTTTGCCCATGCCTATGTCCTGAATGGTATTGCCTAGGTTTTTTTCTAGGGTTTTTATGGTTTTAGGTCTTACATTTAAGTCTTTAATCCATCTTGAGTTAATTTTTTTATAAGGCATAAGGACGGGGTCCAGTTTCAGTTTTCTGCATATGGCTAGCCAGCTTTCCCAGCACCATTTATTAAATAGGAATCCTTTCCCCACTGCTTGTTTTTGTCAGGTTTGTCAAAGATCAGATGGTTGTAGATGTGTGGTGTTATTTCTGAGGCCTCTGTTCTGTTCCATTCGTCTATATATCTGTTTTGGTATTAGTACTATGCTGTTTTGGTTACTGTAGCCTTGTAGTATAGCTTCAAGTCAGGTGGCGTGGTGTTTCCAGCTTTGTTCTTTTTGCTAAGGATTGTCTTCATGATGCAGGCTCTTTTTTGGTTCCATATGAAATTTAAAGTAGTTTTTTCTAATTCTGTGAAGAAACTCAATGGTAGCTTGATGGGGATAGCAATGAATTTATATATTACTTTGGGCAGTATGGCCATTTTCACGATATTGATTTTTCCTATCCATGAGCATGGAATGCTTTTCCATTTGTCAGTGTCCTCTCTTATTTCCTTGAGCAGTGGTTTGTAGAAGAGGTCCTTCACATCTCTTGTAAGTGGTATTTCTAGGTATTTTATTCTCTTTGTAGCAATTGCGAATGGGACTTCACTCATGATATGGCTCTCTGTTTGTCTATTATTGGTGAATAGGAATGCTTGTGATTTTTGCACATTGATTTTGTATCCTGAGACTTTGCTGAAGTTGCTTATCAGCTTAAGGAGATTTTGGGCTGAGACGATGGGGTTTTTATATATAAAATCATGTCATCTGCAAACAGAGACAATTTGACCTCCTCTCTTCCTATTTGAATACCCTTTATTTCTTTCTCTTGCCTGATTGTCCTGGCCAGAACTTCCAATATTATGTTGAATAGTAGTGGCTGAGAGAGAGCATCCTTGTCTTGTGCCAGATTTCAAAGGGAATGCTTCCAGTTTTTGCCCATTCAGAATGATAATGGCTGTGGGTTTGTCATAAATAGCTCTTATTATTTTGAGATACGTTCCATCAATATCTAGTTTATTGAGAGATTTTAGCATGAAGGCGTGTTGAATTTTGTCAAAGGCCTTTTCTGCATCTATTGAGATAATCATGTGGTTTTTGTCATTGGTTCTGTTTATGTGATGGATTACATTTATTGATTTGCATATGTTGAACCTCTCCACCCCAAATCAACAGAATATATATTCTTCTCAGCACCACATCGCACTTATTCTAAAACTGATCACATAATTGGAAGTAAAACACTCCTCAGCAAATGTAAAAGAACAGAAATTATAACAAGCAGTCTCTCAGACCACAATGCAATCAAATTAGAACTCAGGATTAAGAAACTCACTCAAAACTGCACAACTACATGGAAACTGAACAACCTGCTCCTGAACAACTACTGGGTAAATAATTAAAATAAGGAAGAAATAAATAAGTTCTTTGCAACCAATGAGAACAAAGACACCATGTGCCAGAATCTCTGGGACACGGCTAAAGCAGTTTTTTGATGGAAATTTATAGCACTAAATGTCCACAGGAGAAAGCGCGAAAGATCTAAAATCAACACCCTAACATCACAAAAGAACTATAGAAGGAAGCAAACGAATTCAAAAGCTAGCAGAAGACAACAAATAACTAAGATCAGAGCAGAACTGAAGGAGATAGAGACACGAAAAACCCTTCAAAAAAATCAATTAATCCAGGAGCTGGTGTTCTGAAAAGATTAACAAAATAGACTGCTAGCCAGACTAATACAGAAGAAAAAAGAGAGAAGAATCAAATAGACACAATAAAAAATGACAAAGGGAGATCACCACTGATCCCACAGAAATACAAATGATCATCAGAGAATACTATAAACCCCTCTATGCAAATAAACTAGAAAATCTAGAAGAAATGGATAAATTCCTGGATACATACACCCTCCAAAGACTAAACCAGGAATAAGTCGAATCCCTGAATAGACCAATAACAAGTTCTGAAATTGAGGCAGTAATTAATAGCCTCCCAACCTAAAAAAGTCCAGGACCAGACAGATTCACAGCCGAATTCTACCAGAAGTACAAAGGGAACTAGTACCATTCCTTCTGAAACTATTCCAAACAATAGAAAAAGAGGGAATCCTCCCTAGCTCATTTTATGAGGCCAGTATCATCCTGATACCAAAACCTGGTAGAGACACAACAAAAAAAGAAAGTTTCAGGCCAATATCCCTGATGAACATAGATGTGAAAATCCTCAATAAAATACTGGCAAACCAAATCCAGCAGCACATCAACAGCTTATCCACCTAGATTTGAGATTTTAATCTGCTTTCGACTGCCTGATTATCCACTGCCACAGGCACCAGCTCTATTTGACTCAACAAGCATTTCAAACTTCTCCGTATGCCAGGAATTTTGCTAGGTATTGAGTATAAAAACACAAATAAAACAAGGTGTATTTTTATGTGCTTGTAACATTGGAATGCTTGAAAAATGGAAGTTACATTACAGGTACATGTTTACAAAGTAATGTAAAAGAAGACTTTGTAACAAGGTGCAGGATAGCTGCAGAGGGGTTATTAGGAAAAACCCCTGAGAAATATGGCACATCCTTTCCAGCCCATAGTGTCTGAACAGAGGAACCAGGTCACCAACTTGAGCTCATCACCATTCTTTATGATCCAGGCAACTCTCTCCTGTGCCCTGCTCTGAACATAACATAACAACATTGTCCCTGCCCTAAAGGCTAACAATTCAGGCAGGTGAGACAGCTTGTTCTGACACACTCCTAAATAAGCTTCAAATGTACAAGAGAAAAGCCAGATCAAATCTAAGGAAACAGTGTCAGAAACACAGTAAATCTATGATGACTAACTGACCTAACTTATGACCTATAAAAATCATTTTTCTTCCAAGACAACTAATGTAGTCATAGCCACCACTGTGCCAAACATACAGCTTGATAAATCAATTTAGCCTAAACCAGTACATGGTCCAAACATAATATGGCTTTAAATAACTTTGAAAAATATTTCTAGCGTCTCGAGAGAATTTGCATATTTTTAGATGAGATTTGCATTGCATCTTAAAAATACTTCATTAATTCAACAAATAACTACTGAGTTCTTGGTACATGTACAACACTGTGGAAGGTATTAGCAGGCATAAATAAAAAAGCTCTGCCCCTGAGGCATTTACTACGAAAAACAAAATTTACAGAGTTAGAATCTAATATTTATTACTTGCTCCTGATTGCATGTATTTAGCCTAATTACATAATTAGATGCAATCATGCTGAAAACAAAAGAGAGACTGAATTTTATTTTAAGAAAGCTCTCTTGAGACACAAGATGAGAAAAAAATCAGTAAGTAAGCCAAATGCCAGGAACCAAAAATTCAATCTAAACTATCAATACCAAAAAAGACCACAAAAGGCCAACCGTAAAAGCTTGTGTCTGAGGGTAAAATGAAGAGGTCATCATAGACTATATAGAAAGAAACTGTAGTGTGTGAAGTACTGTGAAACTTTATGTATGGAAAAAAACCTGAAAGATCATCTAATACAAGTCCATGATTTTATGAATTTAAATAATTAATATACTGGACACTTTGTTAATTAGTTTCTAAGGAGACTCTGATCCCTGTCACACAACTAAGCATTTGCTTTCTCCACCATATATGCCAAAAAATTCACATTTTAAAAGCCTTAACATATTACACCTTCTCTTTACAGTGTCTGAACTCCCTTAATTCTAAATACAGAGAACATAACAAAAGACATACTCAAATTACCAATGTGCTGGCCAGTGAGATGCCACATCATTGCCATAGTGGGAAGGGTCATGGTGCAAAGCTCAGCCCTCTGGCTGATTCAGTGCAACCCTTCCCTCCCATCCAGTTTCCTACACCCTATTCTAGAAGGTAGAAATAGTATAACCCTTGGCATGTCTCACACACTGAAGTCATTTTCTCAGGCACTTGAACTGGGCCCTGTAACAGTGCCAACCATCCCTAGCAAATCTGGGAGTAGGGCCTGGATGCTACAACTCAATGCTCTCTGCTTCCTGCTTCTGCAACATCTTCAAAGCCCTCCAGCCCCGCACCTGTTCTGCTGTCTCTGTGTTAGTGAGCTTTTCCATAAGGCAGAATCCTTTCTGTTTCTTTACTTTTAGCTGCCTGGGAAACGTCCTTCTCCAATTACCATGAGTTGTTGGAACAGACAGCATCCTGCTGCTGCCTTGAGACACTGGAATGGTTCTTTTGTTACAGACAGCACTGATTCTTAAAATGAAGATTTCTGCCTTCTTTAGCCTCTCCTCATATTTCAGCCTCCTCTCCCTGCCTCACCCAGCCCCCGAATAATACATCCCATCAGCCTAAATCCTTGTCCTTGGAAAAATCAGGCTATTCCTCTCACTATTTGCATCCGCCTCCTCACTCAGCCTGTTTAACCTCAGTCTCGTGTTTCTCTTCAATTTTTATCAAATAGTTATTCACACTTGGCATTACAGAGGATAGGTAAAAAGCAAAATAAATAAAAATATTCTCCACACTCTTACATGGTTATTAACACTTTTAGTGAAGTTTGACCACATCCAAAACCCTCATTCCCACCCACCAAAAGGCACAATAATATCATAGGTGTTTTATATATTAGTAGGAACATTTTAATATTATAATTTCATAACACTCCCAAAGTGTTGCAAAATAACAAGGGAGAACCACTGTTTTAGAACTTTGGTTAAAGGCAGATAATGGCATGTATTACTACTAATGTTTATTACATACATAAATTATACTATGTAAGAAATTTGAACCAGTGAATTCCAAGTCTGACTTCTAGTTGCCTATTCTCCAATGTTGACCTTATGATGCTTGATAAACTAGATACATTTTCCAGCCTGAGACTAGATTACAAGAAAAGCATCAATCCAAAATATTATCGTACTGGGGCTATTACATCACGTGGTCCCTGATCCAGAGGCCCAATTCAAACTATGCATTGAGAAAAAGATTCTCTGGCTCTGAGAGCCTGGAATTATCCTGTGGAGGTCATCTCTTCCATCCTGCTCTCCTCTGCCAACTCTAAATGGGAAAACCAAACCTCCCCTCAAAGACTGGCAATGCAAATGCCAAAGGTACAGACTCTGTGCCCACACGACTTGGGTTGTAGTCTCAACTCTGCCCCTTCCTAACTGTGGTACATCAGGCCACTTAGGAGGCCAGCTGTAGGACTCTCCATTTCTTCATGTTCTCATCCTCAAAACAGGAATAATAATAGTACCCACCTAAATTGTTGTAAAAAATATATACATTGTTATATATAAATCATTAAAGTATTTAGTAAATTGTAAATGTTCAGTTAATTTCTTGGAAACATAAATATTGTGGTAGGAAGTGATTTTGGGAAATATTCTCACATGTTAGTGGTTTCCTCACCTCACAAACATTCAGAACTTGGTAGTGACTTCACCTCCAGTAGTTCCGAACTGCTACAAAAATACTAAGAGTATGGATTATTGTTGAGGAAGTTTTTTACAAGTGAGACTGTATCATAGACAACAATGTACACATGTATGAACCTACATGATCATTTCATTTCTACAGGCTAAGATAATAGCAGACAGAATATTAGCTAAAATTGTAAAGGAGTTGGGAGGCTATGATAGTAACCAAAAATGTATCATACATAGTTCTATGAAGCACTAGTCAAGGCTAGAGAAGCAGAGCAGAGAAGGCTGGACACCACAGGACCCACTCTGGCTGGAGAGTCTGACAGCTGGGATCCGTAATCTAAACTTATGACTATTTATTTCCATGTCATAAATTTACCTTTTAACATGAATAAAAGCTGTAAGCAAGCCATGCCAAAATGCAACAAGGGTAAAGTTCACTTTCTACCTTGGTATTTCATGAGAAGTACCTCCACCGTCCACTCAAAAAGTCAGTGGAGAGCAGGTTAACTCAAAAATCCCATCTTAGCCTCCATTGTTTTCATGTCTAGGTCCACAGATGAAAAGTGAGAACATTAAAACTGGTGGTTCAACTTTGCTAGCCTGGTTGGTAAAAGGGTAAGGATAGTCAGAGAGTTACTATTAAAGGAAAGTTAGCAAGCCTCTAAAATTCAAATCCAATACAAACTTTAAAACAATTTTTAGGAGGAGCCAAGATGGCCGAATAGGAACAGCTCCGGTATACAGCTCCCAGCGTGAGCAAGGCAGAAGACGGGTGATTTCTGCATTTCCATCTGAGGTACCGGGTTCATCTCACTAGGGAGTGCCAGACAGTGGGAGCAGGTCAGTGGGTGTGCGCATCGTGCACCAGCCAAAGCAGGGCGAGGCATTGCCTCGATCGGGAAGCGCAAGGGGTCAGGGAGTTCCCTTTCCTAGTCAAAGAAAGGGGTGACAGACAGCACCTGGAAGATCCGGTCACTCCCACCCGAATACTGCGCTTTTCTGACGGGCTTAAAAAACGGCGCATCAGGAGATCCTGTCCCGCACCTGGCTCGGAGGGTCCTACGCCCACGGAGTCTCCCTGATTGCTAGCACAGCAGTCTGAGATCAAACTGCAAGGCGGCAGCGAGGCTGGGGGAGGGGCGCCCGCCATTGCCCAGGCTTGCTTAGGTAAACAAAGCAGCCAGGAAGCTCCAACTGGGTGGAGCCCACCACAGCTCAAGGAGGCCTGCCTGCCTCTGTAGGCTCCACCTCTGGGGGCAGGGCACAGACAAACAAAAAGACAGCAGTAACCTCTGCAGACTTAAGGGTCCCTGTCTGACAGCTTTGAAGAGAGCAGTGGTTCTCCCACCATGCAGCTGGAGATCTGAGAACGGGCAGACTGCCTCCTCAAGTGGGTCCCTGACCCCTGACCCCGAGCAGCCTAACTGGGAGGCACCCCCTAGCAGGGGCAGACTGACACCTCACATGGCCGGGTACTCCAACAGACCTGCAGCTGAGGGTCCTGTCTGTTAGAAGGAAAACTAACAACCAGAAAGGACATCCCCACCAAAAACCCATCTGTACATCACCAGCATCAAAGACCAAAAGTAGATAAAACCACAAAGATGGGGAAAAAACAGAGCAGAAAAACTGGAACTCTAAAAAGCAGAGCGCCTCTCCTCCTCCAAAGGAACGCAGTTCCTCACCAGCAACGGAACAAAGCTGGACAGAGAATGACTTTGACGAGCTGAGAGAAGAAGGCTTCAGACAAATTACTCCAAGCTACGGGAGGACACTCAAACCAAAGGCAAAGAAGTTGAAAACTTTGAAAAAAATTTAGAAGAATGTATAACTAGAATAACCAATACAGAGAAGTGCTTAAAGGAGCTGATGGAGCTGAAAGCCAAGGCTCGAGAACTACGTGAAGAATGCAGAAGCCTCAGGAGCCGATGCGATCAACTGGAAGAAAGGGTATCAGCGATGGAAGATGAAATGAATGAAATGAAGCGAGAAGGGAAGTTTAGAGAAAAAAGAATAAAAAGAAACAAGTAAAGCCTCCAAGAAATATGGGACTATGTGAAAAGACCAAATCTACGTCTGATTAGTGTACCTGAAAGTGACGGGGAGAATGGAACCAAGTTGGAAAACACTCTGCAGGATATTATCCAGGAGAACTTCCCCATTCTAGCAAGGCAGGACAACATTCAGATTCAGGAAATACAGAGAACGCCACAAAGATACTCCTCGAGAAGAGCAACTCCAAGACACATAATTGTCAGATTCACCAAAATTGAAATGAAGGAAAAAACGTTAAGGGCAGCCAGAGAGAAAGGTCGGGTTACCCTCAAAGGGAAGCCTGTCAGACTAACAGCGGATGTCTGGGCAGAAACTCTACAAGCCAGAAGAGAGTGCGGGCCAATATTCAACATTCTTAAAGAAAAGAATTTTCAACCCAGAATTTCATATCCAGCCAAACTAAGCTTCAGAAGTGAAGGAGAAATAAAATACTTTACAGACAAGCAAATGCTGAGAGATTTTGTCACCACCAGGCCTGCCCTAAAAGAGCTCCCGAAGGAAGCGCTAAACATGGAAAGGAACAACCGGTACCAGCCGCTGCAAAATCATGCCAAAATGTAAAGACCATCGAGACTAGGAAGAAACTGTATCAACTAACGAGCAAAATAACCAGCTAACATCATAATGACAGGATCAAATTCACACATAACAATACTAACTTTAAATGTAAATGGACTAAATGCTCCAATTAAAAGACACAGACTGGCAAATTGGATAAAGAGTCAAGACCCATCAGTGTGCTGTATTCAGGAAACCCATCTCACGTGCAGAGACATACATAAGCTCAAAATAAAGGGATGGAGGAAGATCTACCAAGCAAATGGAAAACCAAAAAAGGCAGGGGTTGCAATCCTAGTCTCTGATAAAACAGACTTTAAACCAACAAAGATCAAAAGAGACAAAGAAGGCCATTACATAATGGTAAAGCGATCAATTCAACAAGAAGAACTAACTATCCTAAATATATATGCACCCAATACAGGAGCACCCAGATTCATAAAACAAGTCCTGAGTGACCTACAAAGAGACTTAGACTCCCACACATTAATAATGGGAGACTTTAACACCCCACTGTCAACATTAGACAGATCAACGAGACAGAAAGTTAACAAGGATACCCAGGAATTGAACTCAGCTCTGCACCAAGCAGACCTAATAGACATCTACAGAACTCTCCACCCCAAATCAACAGAATATACATATTTTTCAGCACCACACCACACCTATTCCAAAATTGACCACATATCTGGAAGTAAAGCTCTCCTCAGCAAACGTAAAATAACAGAAATTATAACAAACTATCTCTCAGACCACAGTGCAATCAAACTAGAACTCAGGATTAAGAATCTCACTCAAAACTACTCAACTACATGGAAACTGAACAACCTGCTTCTGAATGACTACTGGGTACATAATGAAATGAAGGCAGAAATAAAGATGTTCTTTGAAACCAACAAGAACAAAGACACAACATACCAGAATCTCTGGGACGCATTCAAAGCAGTATGTAGAAGGAAATTTATAGCACTAAATGCCCACAAGACAAAGCAGGAAAGATCCAAAATTGACACCCTAACATCACAATTAAAAGAACTAGAAAAGCAAGAGCAAACACATTCAAAAGCTAGCAGAAGGCAAGAAATAACTAAAATCAGAGCAGAACTGAAGGAAATAGAGACACAAAAAACCCTTCAAAAAAATTAATGAATCCAGGAGCCAGGAGCTGCTTCTTTGAAAGGATCAACAAAATTGATAGACCGCTAGCAAGACTAATAAAGAAAAAAAGAGAGAAGAATCAAATAGATGCAATAAAAAATGATAAAGGGGATATCACCACCGATCCCACCGAAATACAAACTACCATCAGAAAATACTACAAACACCTCTATGCAAATAAACTAGAAAATCTAGAAGAAATGGATAAATTCTTCAACACATACACTCTCCCAAGACTAAACCAGGAAGAAGTTGAATCTCTGAATAGACCAATAACAGGAGCTGAAATTGTGGCAATAATCAATAGCTTACCAACCAAAAAGAGTCCAGGACCAAATGGATTCACAGCCGAATTCTACCAGAGGTACAAGGAGGAACTGGTACCATTCCTTCTGAAACTATTCCAATCAATAGAAAAAGAGGGAATCCTCCCTAACTCATTTTATGAGGCCAGCATCATCCTGATACCAAAGCCGGGCAGAGACACAACCAAAAGAGAGAATTTTAGACCAATATCCTTGATGAACATTGATGCAAAAATCCTCAATAAAATACTGGCAAACAGAATCCAGCAGCATATCAAAAAGCTTATCCACCATGATCAAGTGGGCTTCATCCCTGGGATGCAAGGCTGGTTCAATATACGCAAATCAATAAATGTAATCCAGCATATAAACAGAACCAAAGACAAAAACCACACGATTATTTCAATAGATGCAGAAAAGGCCTTTGACAAAATTCAACAACCCTTCATGCTAAAAACTCTCAATAAATTAGGTATTGATGGGACGTATTTCAAAATAATAAGAGCTATCTATGACAAACCCACAGCCAATATCATACTGAATGGACAAAAACTGGAAGCATTCCCTTTGAAAACTGGCACAAGACAGGGATGCCCTCTCTCACCACTCCTATTCAACATAGTGTTGGAAGTTCTGGCCAGGGCAATTAGGCAGGAGAATGAAATAAAGGGTATTCAATTAGGAAAAGAGGAAGTCAAATTGTCCCTGTTTGCAGATGACATGATTGTAAATCTATAAAACCCCATTGTCTCAGCCCAAAATCTCCTTAAGTTGATAAGCAACTTCATCAAAGTCTCAGTATACAAAATCAATGTACAAAAATCACAAGCATTCTTATACACCAACAACAGACAAACAGAGAGCCAAATCATGAGTGAACTCCCATTCACAATTGCTTCAAAGAGAATAAAATACCTAGGAATCCAACTTACAAGGGATGTGAAGGACCTCTTCAAGGAGAACTACAAACCACTGCTCAAGGAAATAAAAGAGGATACAAACAAATGGAAGAACATTCCATGCTCACGGGTAGAAAGAATCAATATCGTGAAAATGGCCATACTGCCCAAGGTAATTTATAGATTCAATGCCATCCCCATCAAGCTACCAATGACTTTCTTCACAGAATTGGAAAAAACTACTTTAAAGTTCATATGGAACCAAAAAAGAGCCCGCATCGCCAAGTCAATCCTAAACCAAAAGAACAAAGATGGAGGCATCACGCTACCTGACTTCAAACTATACTACAAGGCTACAGTGACCAAAACAGCATGGTACTGGTACCAAAACAGAGATATAGATCAATGGAACAGAAGAGAGCCCTCAGAAATAACGCCGCATATCTACAATTATCTGATCTTTGACAAACCTGAGAAAAACAAGCAATGGGGAAAGGATTCCCTATTTAATAAATAGTGCTGGGAAAACTGGCTAGCCATATGTAGAAAGCTGAAACTGGATCCCTTCCTTACACCTTATACAAAAATCAATTCAAGATGGATTAAAGACTTAAACATTAGACCTAAAACCATAAAAACCCTAGAAGAAAACCTAGGCATTACCATTCAGGACATAGGCATGGGCAAAGACTGCATGTCTAAAACACGAAAAGCAATGGCAACAAAAGCCAAAATTGACAAATGGGATCTAATTAAACTAAAGAGCTTCTGCACAGCAAAGGAAACTACCATCAGAGTGAACAGGCAACCTACAAAATGGGAGAAAATTTTTGCAACCTACTCATCTGACAAAGGGCTAATATCCAGAATCTACAATGAACTCAAACAAATTTACAAGAAAAAAACAACCCCATCAAAAAGTGGGCAAAGGACATGAACAGACACTTCTCAAAAGAAGACATTTATGTAGCCAAAAAACATGAAAAAATGCTCACCATCACTGGCCATCAGAGAAATGCAAATCAAAACCACAATGAGATACCATCTCACACCAGTTAGAATGGCAATCATTAAAAAGTCAGGAAACAACAGGTGCTGGAGAGGATGTGGAGAAATAGGAACACTTTTACACTGTTGGTGGGACTGTAAACTAGTTCAACCATTGTGGAAGTCAGTGTGGCGATTCCTCAGGGATCTAGAACTAGAAATACCATTTGACCCAGCCATCCCATTACTGGGGATATACCCAAAGGACTATAAATCACGCTGCTATAAAGACACATGTACATGTATGTTTATTGCGGCACTATTCACAATAGCAAAGACTTGGAACAAACCCAAATGTCCAACAATGATAGACTGGATTAAGAAAATGTGGCACATATACACCATGGAATACTATGCAGCCATAAAAAATGATGAGTTCATGTCCTTTGTAGGGACATGGATGAAATTGGAAAACATCATTCTCAGTAAACTATTGCAAGAACAAAAAACCAAACACAGCATATTCTCACTCATAAGTGGGAACTGAACAATGAGAACACATGGACACAGGAAGGGGAACATCACACTCTGGGGACTGTTGTGGCTTGAGGTGAGGGGGGAGGGATAGCATTGGGAGATATACCTAATGCTAGATGACGAGTTAGTGGGTGCAGTGCACCAGTATGGCGCATGTATACATATGTAACTAACCTGCACATTGTGCACATGTACCCTAAAACTTAAAGTATAATAATAAATAAATAAATAAATAAATAAATAACAATTTTTAAAGATTGCAAGTAAATAACTACTGTTACAAATAGTAAGTTCGTTATTTAAATACTGCTTCTAACTATGAAGACCACAAATTCTATCTTTTTATAATCCCAGAATCAACAAAACACCTTTTACTTACTAGGCCATTGAGAAACATTTGCTATTAGTGGTTACAATGATATATATATCAATAATTTATGGTACACCTTACACATATATTGGTGTTTAAATTTATCAAGTGTAATCTTCACAACAATCCCAAAAAATATAGGTAGCATTATTCTCGCTTTTATAAGAAATTTTCACTAATGAGAAGTTGAATTTCCTAACCAAGATGACGTGAATTAAAAGTGAAGTCCAAGTTTCAAACCACATCTATACTGAAGATGCAATGTGTTCAAAAAATAACATGCTGGGACAGGCTGCAGAAACATGTCTCTGAGCACTAAAGTTCCTACTAGTGAATAAAATACTCTTTTTCTAAATTCCTCTTCAGAACACTTACTTAGTTAAATAATATATAAATCAAACACAGAAAACCATATGCCAATTCACCAGTGATAAAAATTATTTATTCCAGCAATTCTAAATATATTCCTTAGAGCAGTGGTCCCCAACCTTTTTGGCACCAGGAACCATTTTCGTGGAAGACAATTTTTCCATGGACAGTGGGGATGTGGGGCAAAGCTGGAGGGATGATTTCAGGATAAAACTGTTCCACCTCAGATCATCAGGCATTAGAGTTTCATAAGGAGTGTGCAACCTAGATCCCTTGCACGTGCAGTTCACAACAGGGTAGCCCTCCTATGAGAATTGAACGCTGCTGATCTGACAGGAGGCAGAGCTCAGGCAGTAATGCTCCCTTGCTCATCCACTGCTCACCTCCTGCTATACGGCCCAGTTCCTAGCAGGTCACAGACCAGTACTGGTCCCAGGGGTTGGGGACCCCTGCCTTAGTGTTCATAGGCAGTGCTCACACATGGATAACAGAAAACATGTTTGGACAGCCCATCTCCTTCCTCTCCCTGACTCCTGTGTCATTACTTCCATTAATATTTTCAGTAAGCAATCAAGATAACAAAATCCAAAATAGAAGCTAGTTTTTATCATTTATTGTAACAGTTACAACATATACACAGTCACAGGCTTATCTTCAAATGTAAAGATTAATGTCATTAAATTCCTTGAATTGTTTTTCAGTTATAACAGATTTCAAGTAATTTTCACTACTGTCCTATGATTATAAAAATCCTAATTCCCCAGTAAGTGCTTAATATATATTTTCATTTTAGTTCTAAAAGTAATCATCTGTAATACATTTTTATAGAAGCATAGAACATATACTGATGAGGTTTTTGTAAGAGAAATAAGCAATCCTAAGTACGCCTTTCAGTACTTCCTATTGAATAATAGAATTTTATCTATGAAAAGCACATTAGGAACATTTTACCCAAGTTCCTTATTTTATAGATTTAAAAAAAAAAACAGGCTTACTATGTTTAAGAATATAACAGTAAAGTTGTAGTCTTTTGAATTAAAAATGACAATAGAATTAGATTTTATGAAAAAGAAATCTTTAGAAACTCTCATTGTATTATTACTAGTTCTTGCTGAATTTTTTTCCACATTAAAACCAAGGTTGCCTCATTTCATTCTCATGAAATAATGGAGCCCCACTGAAACTGAAAAACTGTCCAAGTTATTCTTCCTACAGAAATGTGTGCATGTGTGTCACATACTTAGCTGTGTACTATGAAGTTTAAAGTTTGTGATAAAAAGGAAGTTGATTTTAGAAATGCACACTGTTGTAGTGCCTTTACAAAGGTACTGCACACCAGCCTGGGTGACAGAGAGAGAGACCCTGTCTTTGAGAAAAGAAAAGAAGAAGAGAAAAGAAATAAAAACACAGAAGTTAGAATCAACAGGATCTGGTAAATGATTAGATAGGAAGATGAGAAATTGAGGTTTGTGCATCCTACACAGCAGCTTGAAGAGGAAACACTGTAATTGAAAGCTAGAGTTGAACTGATCAAGGAGAGAAAATGAAACGGGGGGGGTGAATAGTGTTTTGGAAGTTGATGTGGAACGTGTTTCTCAGGTTCTACATAAAACTGGCTGGTTGTGTTCACATGGTAAAAAAAATCTCTTAGATCATCATCACAGAGAAGATTTGGTGATATGTATTTCAGTATTCACAATAAAGAGAACAAATGATATGACTGGTCATTTAAAAGAAGATCAAGACCAGCTGTTCTTCAAGATGATTAACACTTTATTTTATTAGGAAACTATTCTGAATCAGATGATGTTTATTATAAAAATTATTTTGTCAATTTATAATATTAAATTAATGGTCCTCAGCATACAAAGTATCTTCTTTATAATTATATATGCAAAGTTTATAGGCATAACCTTAATAAACATAACATTCAAAACAGAAGTTCAGCATACGTGAACTTGATTAACCTATTAGAGTTCTCAAATAAAATGAAAAATGTCATTAACTAGGAACAAAACCCAAAAAAAGATTAATGATAATGAAAAAGCAACAGTGACATCTGCTGTCTGTTTGTATAGTTTCCTTAAAACTATTCTCTACGCTTCATCTCTTTTCCTTCAATTTTCATCTATTTTTACCATTGTCATATCTATTATGTAAGAAATGCTTTGATGACTAAGCTCCTTCCATCTACTCCATTGTTTTGTTCCCAGAGAATAATCTGAAGCAGACTATTTTTAATATATGATCTATGTCACAAGTTTTTAAATACACACACCTTTAAATACTCTGATCAGAGGCTTCACCAAAATTTGAATGTATAATAATGGTATCCAGGAACAATTAAGAAGTTAATAGTCTTATTGCTACTGTTCTTTATGTTCTACCAGTAATGTTTTAGAAAACAAAATAACTTGCCCTGTAATCTACATGATAATATATGAAGCACAATGCAGTTAGTTACCGTGACATAACAGCATTTAGATTCCTCCATGGAAGAAGAATAGAAATGAACAATTCTAAGACTGAAAAATCCTTAAACAAATGGGAATAGGCAGTAGCTTACACATCCCTTCTAGAAACAACCCCAGTGTTCCACCTCATGATGTGTGAAATACCACAATCATAGAGTTATGTCCTTGGTAAATGCATTTGTCACATAAAGTTGTCACCTATTTCACAATGTTCATTTTCATCCTAGAAGAATAAGATATTGGGCCATTAACAATCAGTAGTTACTTGGAGGGAGGGAGTTAATCAGAGAGATTTTCTGCTTGACAATCAACTAGTGAGCGTTTTAGTTGGAGGAGAAAGAAGAATGACTTTGTCATTGAGAGACTAGCACACTAGGATAGGCAGAGTTGTGGGGAGAACTGAGTAGTCAGGGTGTAAGGACACTCATTAGTTGATCAAGGGTCAGAAGGGAGGAAAACAACAGAGAAAAGAAAGATAGAATGACACCACAAACAACAAACCTGGACTGCTTTACAATTGTGAAGTTTTCAAAGTGTCCATTAAACAATCTTTACATGGATATTGAGTAAACAGTAGCAAAGAGCTGTGAAACAATGAAAAGTAAAGAACCAAGAAGATGCCTTAAATCTTAAACCAGTGATGCAAGTCCAGAGAAATCACAGGAAAGAATAGGTATCCCAAGTACATTTGTCTTGCTTGGGCAGAGAGCAGCTTATTTTTCTTATTTAGCAAAAGAAAGAAGGGGTGCTACACAGTCTCTAAGGCATGACAAATGACATCCTTCTACACTGACAGCACTCACCACAAAACAGAATCTGTGAAAGCTGATCTCAAGGCTCCATGTAGGAGAAAACAATGCACATATAAAGGTTATTGGTTTGATAAAAGAAAATCCATTTTTTAAATGACAGTATAAAAAATCCTCTATTGGCAAGAAGCACTTTTCATTCTAGGGAAAAGTGAAATTCAAGAGCTCATATGGGAAAAAGAGATCATTTGCTCTGTTTATTCTTGCCTGAACAGACACACTCTAAATTGATCATCAGTGAAGAATAGGATAAACATTCCAGAGCAAATATGCCTATGCTCTTGATCCTGACATTTGAAGAAAATTTATTAAGAACCTTTATATAAAAACAAATCTCCTCAGATAACATATAAAGGTAGTATATACAAGAAATCTAAGGTCACGATAAAAGTACCAAGCCAATGAAGTGATGTTTTTCAATGAAATCATTATTTGATCATCTGCTCAAAATCATTATTTTGAGCAGATGATCAAAATTAGCACCGGAGAGAACATTGGATGTACAAACATGAATAAGCCATGGGCTCCGAACCATAATGTTTTCCGCATAATAGACAAATAGGGCATAAATATAAGCAAAAGAAAAAAATGATTCTTTCCTGTAATTTTCTGGTCCTATTAATACATCATTAGTTAAAGAGTTAAGGAATCTTATTGGTTCCTTTCATTGTTTCACTTTGTCACTATTTACTCAACATCCATGTAAAGATTGTTTTATCGGGGATTTGGGGTACAGGGTAGGCACCAAGTGAGGGGTAGTTAAGTTCTCTATTGGGAAATTGGGAAAGGTTCTATTCAGTAGAGAAACCAGATGCACCTTTGAAAATGAGAAGGCATTCCAAATGTAAACAGGGAAGAGATGCATTTTACACAGAGAAAGAAGTGAGAGGAAGAGCTATGAAACAACATAACATGGTAGGGAAACCTGGTTCCGAAAGTCTGAGCATGGGACATGAAGAAGGGAGAGGTGACAGAGGAAGCCAAGGGCAAACAGGAGTCAGAAGTGAGAAGGGTCAGTGCAGCATGGTTCAATTAAGTTCAACACCAACTTTGTAGGTATTTTTTGTTTTTTTGTTCTGTTTTAAAATATAAGCATATAGAAACCTCCTCAATCATATTTACTCATAAGTAAATGGTTTTAGATTTTACCCCCATTTATTTAGGCAGAGGAAAATAATAAATAATAATAAAAGAATCTTGATAAATCATTCTAAAAATTTCAATAGTAAAGTAAATGAGAACATAAAAATGAGGACATTGTCCTAATATATACTAAGGGTTTCATTTTAAGTGTCTTTCTTGTATACTTAGTCCCTCGGAAGTATTGATATGTAAGCTGTAGCCTCAAAAACAATTGAGAAAATAAACCATTCAAAGACATCAGTTGTCTTCATTAAACATTTTTTTCTGGGCACACAGCTGGAAACTTTCCATTCATTCAGCACTTGCTCATGGGTGAGATGGCTTAATATTTTCCCAAGAGCAAGCATGCCAAGACTTAATGGCTCTGGACAGACATCTGGTAAGGGCTATCAGAACCACCTGGACTGCAGAAAAAGCTTTCGGGTTCCAGCAGGAAATCCTTATGTGTTCTTTTTCCCTGACTGGTATCTGTGACAGGCAGGTGCCTCCTGAAATGAGAATTTAGGTGACGTTTTCAAGGAAAGTCTATACCCAGAGTCATGACAAAGATGAAACAAAGAAGATGAGATATTGGTCTAAGTCAGTGATAGCTATGATGTGAATTATCTCTTAGGTACCATGTGTCTTACAGACCCTTTAATACTACTTAGAATATCAAGCTTTGTAAGAATAAAGGTATTAGTAAATGCTCACGAGATAATAAGGAGACCTGAGCTCATAAGTAGGTCCTGCTACTCTTGTTCTATTAGTGTCTTTTGCTTATATGGGTATACATATATGATACTGTACATTTATACTGCAATTAAAAGGAGAGAAGAAAAATAAATTAGAAAATAACATTAAATTATACATCTAGTCTACTCTGCAATCTTGCCTAGACATACAAAAATTTTCATTAGGACACTAAAAAAAAAATCTCCTATACAACAAGATCCAAGACTCCATCCAGAAGGCTTCTCGATATTCTTTATTTGCTATTCCTATTTCATTCTCTCATACGCAAAGCCATTTCTAACAAACTGCCAGCTGATGCCAGTGCTGCTGGTCCCTGGAACATGCTTTGAGTGGCAAGGTTTTCAAACACAATCAGCATAACTTACCTGTCTCAGGGAAGATTTTCACAATTCCTGTATAGGAAAGATCCATCCAGGAGATTTTCTTTGTTAAGTATGCATCCTCCATCATAATTTCCTCATCAAATTCTCTGCAATACTGAGCAGACCAGTTAAATCTACATTCAATAACAGTAAGAGCCAGTGTTGTTTAATGGCATAATGAGAAATCTAGGGTCAGATAGATATAGGTCCATATCCCATTCCTGCCTACCAAACAGATTGACCATGGGAAAGTACTTAAACTGGTCTAAACCTTAATTTCCTCTTCTATAAAATAGAGATGCCACTAGTAAATACTTCAAAGGTTTATTTTGAGGATTACATAAAATAACTTATAAAATAACCTATATAGCACTGTCTGGTGAGCACTCAACAAATGCTAGTTATTGATATTAATGCAATGCTGCAGCTTAATTATGCATCCAATGTGTCATATAGCATTTGAGGCTTGAAACTCACAGGTTGACTAGTACAGTAGAATATTTTGCTGTCACAACCAACGGTTGTGCACATTCTCTAGGTCTGTTAATCCATTTTTTTTACAAATACTGAGTGAAGACCAACACTCCCAATCTCTACATGTATATTTTAGCAGAGGAGGTATTTATCATTTTTTTGGTGGGGGGGCGGGGTGCAACACCTACCACCTGAAACTCTCCATTAGTCAGGCTTATACTTGCAAACAATAGTATTGAACTGAGATATTTTTAGCAGAAAAGGCTTTGTAGAAGGTTATTAGCTAGCCCACAGAATCCCTAAAAGGCCCAAAGAACAAAACTTGAAGGCAAATAGATAGGGTCAATAAGCTAAGAAATAAACAGTGAGAAAAAAAAAGCATAGCACATTGTGGGGCTGCTCTAAGAAACTCCATTGCCAACCTTACTCACCATTTTGTACACTTGATTCTGAATGCCAGAATTTGTCCACAGTCACTCTGGAAAAAGTCATATTCACATAGAGAATATATGAAAGTGGTTAGGGTAGGGGGTGAAGGGGGATGAAGAGAGGTAAATTAATGTGTACAAAATTACAGTTAGATTGAAGAAATAAGATGTAATGACTTCTAATACCAAAATGGTGGCAGAGAAGCAAGCTGGTTTCATTCCACACCCACACCCACCCCATAACACATACACAGAGAAAGCCAAAAGCAAATATAGAGCGCCAAGATTTTCACCAGCAATATCCCAGAACTCAAATATGAGGATGAGTCAGTTCCCAACACCACAGAAACATGAAAAAAAAAATCCAAGCAATCACTAAGAGACTCAGGTTTCAATATCTGCAACACCCTTTCCTCCAATCTGCCTGACACCAAGCATGTGGAAAATTTTCCCTGATTCATGGTTTCTACACTAGAAACATTCCCCCTGATTCACAGTTTCTACACTGGAAAAGGGTGAACAACTAGCTTCCCCTCATGTTGGATTCCCTGAAGGTGACTTGTCCCTGCTTCAGCCCACAGAAAGCATCAGAAGTGCCTGAAGGGGGAAATACCCCTGAGAATGGCCATACACAAAGGTGGGAGATGGGACTATCATCCCAGCCCTGGAAACACTGCTCTGTAACTTGACCTAGAAGATGCCAAATCAGAGTGGCTGTTCAGCAGTGCCACACTGTTTGTCCCACAGGTCCCTCAGACTTGAACCCCTAGCCCACCTTCCACACTGCCAGAATATCATCTATGGGACCTCAGCCATTTGGGATGGGCAGCAATACAGTTGTTTGTTAGAGCCAAGGCCAAGCTGGTATTAAGGTGCCATCTAGTGCTAAAAAGAAAGCAGTGACCCAGCAGACAAAATAATTTAAAAATTCAACAGGTAAATTGCAAAATATCTCTAAGCAAACATAACTAATAAAAACAAAACAAGCCAGATAGAGAAGACTGGAATAGATAGCTAATCCTTCAATGCAAAGACTTAAATATACACCCATAAGGAACAACAGCAAACAGGGAACCATGACTTCCCCAACCAGACAAAGCAAGGAACCAGTGACTGATTCTAACAAGATATCAATATGTGAGCTCTCTGACCAAGAATTCAAAACAGCAGTTTTAAGGAGACTCAGTGATAACCAAGATAACACATAAAAGCAATTCAGAAATTTAATAGAAAAATTTAACGAAGAGATTAAAATGATTAAAATTTAACAGGTTAAAATTATTAAAAACAGAACAGAAATCTTGGGACTGACAAATATACTTGCTGAGATAAAAAATTCATTGGTCTCTCAACACTAGTATAGACCATGCAGAGGACAAAATCAGTGAGCTCAAAGACAGGCTATTTGAAATTACACAGTCAGAGGAGAAAAAAGAATGAAAAGGAATGAAGATCACCTACAATATACAGAAAATTACCTCAAAAGACAATATCTAAGAATTATTGATGTTCAAGAGGTAGTTGACCAAGAACAAAGAAAAGAAAGCTTATTAAAATAAATAATAATGGAAAACTCTCCACAATTTAAGTAGGATATAGATATCCAGGTACAGGAAGGTCTGAGAACACCAAACAGATTCAAACCAAATAGGACTATCCCAAGGCAGGGTGTAATAATCAAACTCTCAAAGGTCAAGGATAAAGAGAGGATCCCCAAAGCAGCACAAGATAAAAAGTGAATGACATATAAAGGAGCTCCAATTGATCTAGCAAAAGACTTCTCAACAGAAACCATACAGGCCAGGAGGGAGTGGGCCAACATTTCCTGAGTGCTCTAAGAAAACAATTGCCATCCAAGAATACTATATCTAGCAAACCTAACCTTCAAATATGAAGAAGAGATAAAGTCTTTCCCAGACAAAGAAAAGTTGAGAGAATTCGCCACCACCAACCCATCTTACGGGAATGGCTAAAAGATGTTCTTCAATCTGAAAGAAAAAAACACTAATGTGCATGAATAAAACAATTAAAGGTATAAAACCCATTGGCAAAATTAAGCACAAAGACAATGCCAGAATACTCCAATACAGCAATTGTGTGCAATCCGCTCATGTCTAGTATAAAGCCCAAAAGACAAATATATCAAAAACAATAATACTACAACAACCTTTTAAGAGATAGGCAATATAAAAATGTAAATTGAGACAACCAAAAGTCAAAATGGTGGTGGAGGAGGAACAGAATTAAAGTATAAAGGTTTTTTGTTTGTTTGCTTCTATTCTATGTGTGTGTGATCTAAGTTGTCATCCCTTTAAAATAACTGGTTAACCTATAAAATTTTTTTGTAAGCCTCAAGATAAGGACAATGAAAAAAACCTATAATAGACATACAAAAATAAAAGCAACAAATTAAAACACACTACCATAGAAAGTCACATAATCACAAAGAAAGACAATAAGGAGGAGAGGAGTTGCTAAACAACCACAAAACAAGCTATAAAAATAGCAGTAGTAAGTCCTTATTTACCAATACTAACAGTGAAAGTAAATGGCCTCAGTACTCCAATTTAAAGACATGGAAAAGCTGAACGGATAAAGAATCAAGACATAACTAATGCTGCCTGCAGAAAAACTACCTCACCTATAAAGACAGACATAAACTAAAAGTGAAATGTTGGGAATGATATTTCATGCAAGTAAAAAACAGAAGTAGCTATACATGTATCAGAAAAAATACAGTATAAGTGAAAAACTATAAAAAAAGACAAACTACACAAAGAGACAAAGGTTACTATATAGTGAGAAAAGGGTTAATATAACAAGAGAATATAACAATTATAAATATCTGTACACCCAACACTGGAGCACCCAAGTATATAAAGTAAACAGCAGTAGAGCTAAAAGAGGAGATCGACAGCAATACAGCAATAATAGGGGCTTCAGTACCCCACTCTCAGTAATGAAAAGATGATCAGGATAGAAAATCAACAAAGGAACAGTGGAGTTAAACTGCACACTAACCTAATAGGCCTAACTAATATTTTCTGAACATTTTACCCAACTGCTACAATTCAATACACATTATTTTCATCAGCACATGGGACAATTTCCAGAATAAACCAGATCTTAGGTCACAAAACAAATCTAAACAAACAGAGAAATTTTAAAAATTCAGAAAACAAAAATCACATCAAGTATCTCTTCTGGCCACAATGGAATAAAACTAAAAATCAATTAAAAGAGGAATCTCAGAAACTACACATTCTCAAAAGCTACACAAATAAAGGAAATTTTAATACATGCTTCTGAATGGCCAATAGGCCAGTAAAAAAGATAAGAAATAAATTTTAAAATTTCTTGAAACAAATGAAAATAAAAATACAACATACCAAATCCATAGATTACAGCAAAAGCAGTATCTAAGAGGGAAGTTTATTGCAATAAATACCTACATCAAAAAAGTAGAAAAACTTCAAATAATCTAAGGATGCACCCAAGGAACTAGAAAAGCAATAGCAAACTGAACTCAAAATTAGTAGAAAAAAATAAAAAATAAAGATCAAAGCAGAAATAAATGAAACTGATACTAAAAAAATACAGAAGATGAATGAAATGCAAGGTTGGTTTTTAAAAGATTAAACAAAATTGACAAACTGTTAGCTAGACTAAGAAAAAAGAAAACTCAAATAAATAAAATCAGAAATGAAAAAGAAGACATAACAATTGAGAATACAAAAAAAACCCACAAAGAATCATTAAAGCCTATTATGAACAACTATATGCCAAAAAATTGGAAAACCTAGAAGAAATAGATAAATTCCTGGACACATACAACCTACCAAGATTGAACCATGAGGAAGTAGAAAACCTCAACAAACCATTAACAAGTAATGCCATAATAAAAAAATCTCCCCTCAAAGAAAAGCTAAGCCCAGCAGCTTCAATGCTGAAATCTATCAAATATTTAAAGAAGAATGAATATCAATTATATTCAAACTCTTCAAAAAAATGAAGAGAAGGAAACACTTTCACACTCATTCTACAAGGCCAGCATTATCCTGATACCAAAACAAGACAAGGATACAATTAAATAAAGAAAACTACAGGCCAATACCACTGATCAGCATAGATGCCAAAATTTTCAACAAAATACTGCAAGCCAAATTCAACAATATATTAAAAACATCATTGACCATAATGAAGTAAGATTCATCCCAGAGATGCAAGGATGGCACTACATACACAAATGATAGGTCACATTAACAGAATCAAGAACAAAAACCATATGGCCATTTGAATAGATGCCAAAAAAGCATTCAATGAAATTTAACATCCTTTTATAATTTTTTAAAAACTGGGTATAGAATGAACATACCTCAAAATAATAAAGGTCATATATGACAAACCCACAGCCAACATCATACTGAACAGGAAAAAAATGTCTTAGAGGAAAGACTTCAAAAAACATCTAAGAACAAGACAAGAGCGCCCACTTTACCATTTTTATTCAGCATAATACTGAAGTCCTCACGAGAGTAATTAGTCAAGGGAAAAAAAATGAAGAACATTCAAATTGGAAAGGAGGAAGTTATATTAGCCTTGCATGCAGACAACATCATCTTATATTTAGCAAAACCTAAAGACTTCACTAAACAAACAAACAAAAACCATGTTAGAGCTGATAAATGAATTCAGTAAGGTTGCAGGACACAAAATCAACAAAGATCCTTGGATTGTATACTTCAACAGCAAACAATCTGAAAAAAAAATTAAGAAAGCCATCCCATTTAGAATAGTTACAAAGAGCTTTAAATACCTAGGAATCAATTGAGCAAAGATGTGAATGATTATACAAAGAAAATTATAAAACTATGATGAAAAAAATTAAAGAGGACAAAAAAATGGAAAGATAGTCCATGCTCATGGATTAAAAGAATCGATATTATTAAAATGACCATTCTACCCAAAGAAATTGACAGATTCAATGCAATCCTTATCAAAACCCCAATGTCATTCTTCAAAGAAACAAACAAACAAAAAAAACTAAAATGTATATGGAACCAAAAAGAGAGCCAAAGAAACCCTGAGGGAAAAAAATGAAGCTAGAGGCATCACACTACCTGTCTTCAAAATATACTACAAAGCTATGATAACCAAATCAACATGGTACTGTCTTAAAAATACATAGACCAATGGAACAAAATAGAGTACTCAGATATAAATCCATGCATTTACAGCCAATTCACTTTCAACAAAGGCTCCCAGAACATACAGTGGGGCAAGGACAGCCTCTTTAATAAATGCTTCTGGGAAAACTGGATATCCATATAGAGAATAAACCTAGTCACTTATCTCTCACTATATACAAAAATAAAATCAAAATGGATTGAAGACTTAAATCTAAGACTTGAAAATACGAAAACATTAGAAAATGTTGGGGAAATGCTGCAGGACATTGGCCTGAGCAAAGATTTTTCTTGTGTAAAACTTCAAAAGCACAGGCAACAAAAGCAAAGAAGACAAATAGGATTACATCAAGCTAAAAGGCTTCTGCACCACAAAGGAAACAATCGTAAAGTAAGGAGACAACCCACAGAATAAGAAAAAATATTAGCAAACTATTCATCTGACAAGGAATTAATAACCAGAAAATATAAGGAGCTGAAACAACTCAATTGCAAAAAAGAAATCCAATTAAAAATTGGGTGAAAGAGCTGAATAAATATTTATAAGAAGACATTCAAATGGCCAAAAAGTATTTTTTTAAAAGTTCAATATCACTAATCATCAGAGAAAAGCAAATCAAAACCACAGTGAGATATCATTTGACCCCAGTTAGAGTGGCTTTTATTAAAAAAAACAGGCAATAATGGATACTGGCAAGGATGTGGAGAAAAGGAAACCCTTGTACATGCTGAGGAATGCAAAGTACAGCGACTATAGAAATCAGTATGGAGGTTCCTCAAAAAATTGAAAACAGAACTATCACGTGATCTAGTAATTCCACTACTGGGTATATAGCCAAAAGAAATGAAACAATATATCAATAAAATATCTGCACTCCCATGTTTATTGTAGCATTAATCCACAATAGGCAAAATATGGAATCAACCTAAGTACCTATCAATGGATGAATAAAGAAAATGTGGTTTTATATATATACAATGGAATGTCATTCAGCCATTAAAAATAATAAAATCCTGTCATTTGCAGCAACATGGATGGAAGTAGAGGTTATTATGTTAAGTGAAATAAGCCAAACACAGAAAGACAAATATTGCACATTGTCATTCATATATGGGAGCTAAAAATTGGATCACATGAAGATAGAGTGGATTAGTGGTTATCAGAGGCCAGGAAGGGTCAGTGAGGAAGGGATGAATAGAGGTTAATTGACAGGTACAAATATGCCATTAGAAACAAGAAATAAGACCTGGTGTTTGATGTATCAGTAGCGTGATGCTACAAACATTAATCTATTGTGCATTTCAAAATAGCTAGAAGAGAATAATTTGCATGTTTCTAGCATAAAGAACAGATAAATATATAAGGTGATGAATATTCCAATTACCCTGACTTAGTTATATGAATGTATCAAATTATCACAAGTAGCCTGAAAATATGGACATCTATTATTTATCAATTTTTAAAAAAAGACCTAGTGTTCAATAAATCAGTAGGTTGACTAGAGTAAACAATAATGTGGTGTATATTTCAAAATAGCTGGAAGAGAATAATTTGAACATTCCCAGCATAAAGAAAAGGTAAATGTTTAAAGTAATAAATACACCAATTACCTTGATTTGATCGTTACATATTAATGTATCAAAATATCATATGTATGTCTATTATGTGTCAATTTTAAACAGAAAAGAAAAAAATGCTCAAGTCACCTTCACAAGCATGCTTACATAAGCTCTAGTCTCCCTGCATGCAACCACCACATCAGGTGACTTGGCTCCAGTTGCAGTCTTGTACAACTCTGCAGCAGCTATGGAACCTAGGAACATAATTCATCACTTCCTAGGTGAAGATCAATCTAGCAGAAGATTGGAATGGGTATTGAGTGAGCCAGCCTATAGTATTTGCCACAACCTACTTCCTATGTTTTGATTTTCTCCACCTTATGAAGGAAGGTATGAGGTAAGTGGCAGAGACTGCCACACACTATAAAAAAGAAAATGCCACATACTCACCTCCTTAGTGGCCCTGGCAGCAAGAGCATGGACTTAAGACCCACTTTGCACTTATCAAATGCATCGCTTGGATCTTGAACTGTAAAGAAGTGATGCAAAGTAGGGGACAATGTGAGCAATTTACTCTGGCAATGACAGGAGTTGGACCATGATAATATTCCTGGGGTAGCAATGGCAGCAGTGCTAGTAGCCCCAATCCAGGGTCCATTAATACTGCTGTTAATGATGCAAAGTACAGCACAGGCTCAGCAGCACAGCAGTGGTGTCCTTTCAGGTCATGATTTTAGGTATTGTTCCTAGCTCTGTAGCCCCAGAAATTCTGTGCAACTGAGTGTCCTTATAATGAATTCATTTTCTGCTTACATCAGACAGAGTTGCTTTTAACTAAAAACACTAACACATAAATTGGTAGCAGTTGTAACTGCAGGCAATGGTCCCTTCGAAAAATTGAATTGAATAAAAAGTAAAACCAACAAAAATTAGCCAGTATTAAGGAATGGGAATCTGAAAGTCCATTGCACATGTTGTCACCTTCAAGAAGTTCTCATTGAAGGCAAGGCTAATAAGGACGTAGGCAACTGCCACACAAGTGTACAAACAGCATAGGAATTCAAGAACTGTGAGGCATGGAGGTTGCTTCTAACTCTGCTTCACGGCTTCAAGCAAAAGAATGACAAGCTGAAATCACAAATTCTTGGCTAGAGGCATGAAGTGAAATCCCATGTTTCTCTGACTGCTAAAAGAATCTCTTATCGCTTTCAGCCGCAGGGCTGAGATAACTGAAAATCAGACTCAAACTTTGATCCTGCAGGTTTCTAAATTACAATGTCAGTTGAATTCACAGCCCACTGAGATCACTTATGTGAAAGTAAAAGCACTGATCTGGATAGAACAAAACTGAGATATAGAATGGAGGCAAATGAATAAATTTGGATGTCATAAGTTCCCTGAACCCACCAAATCCCCTGACAGTCCCTTGCTGGCCAAGGCAGTCTTGTTTCCCTTGTCTGGTGAGGTGCAGAAGGAATAAATTATCTATGGTAATGGAGATGGCTGTCACAAAAATCAAGTGTTTAGGTAGCAGGGATAGCAGAGCTGATGGCAGCTTCTGGAGGCCATTGCTAGCAATGTCAACAGTGCAAGCTGTAGTTCTTTGCAGCAGTGACAGCAATGTCCCTACTGAGCTAGTTCTGCAGAATGATTGGACTGTTGTTCCCATCTGCATAGTCCCAAGACTGGCAAAGCCCAATGTCCTTTGAATAAATAATTTTCTACTCAAATCAGCCAAATCTGGTCTCCGCTGCTTTCAACTATGAACTATATGCTTACAAATTTCAATAACAGCTTTTTCTTTTACCCTTCTCCCTCTGCAAAATGTGGTCAAAATATGAAAAATTTCAACTCTGATTGCTTTAGAATGGTAAGTCCATAACTGATCTAAATTTTTCTTATAATAAGAACTAATAAGAACTCATGCTCAGAGTTGCAGGCTCCCTGCCTACAAAATTTAATAAGAGATTCATAGCTGTTTCCTACTTACAGAGAAAATTTATTCCCGTCTACCTTTATCCATCTTTGTCTCTTTTATATGCAATATTATTATTCACAGTTTTCCAGTGAATTATCAAAGAAAAGGCAAACGAAAATTGCTCCCTAGTAGCAGCAGTCATCCAATTCATCAAATCATAACCTACAAATTCTTACATGAGCAATTGTCTGGTCAATCTTACACCATGACAAACTAAATGCCTGATAAACAGTCACAATCCCTTATAAAATTTATGGTAAAGACATTCAAAACCACCAGCCAAGGGCATTATTGGTGTGATGGCAAAAACCATAGATCAACCGTAGCCCATACCATTGGTGATAAAGCCATTCAAGTCCTTAAAAATCTGACTGTTAGTACATATATTTGGTTTTTTTGAGCAATAAAGAGAGGTTGTTTTACTTCAGGAGATGCATAATAGTTCACTAGCCTCATGGTTACTCCACTGGCATCAGCTTATGCACCTTTTCAGAGTTACTCCACCCCAACATCTCCTGGGCCTTGGATGCTTGTCAGAATCTAGCTGCCCACCAGCCCATCTCTTCATCTCCTGACACCACCACCTATCTCACCCAGGCAAGCTTCAGAATGGCCTTCCTTAGGACCACCCCGCAGTAGTCAAAGTGGCTCCTCCCACTACTTCTAGGTCCAAATGAAGCCCAGGTCACAGGGTATGGAATCCGACTTCCCCAAAGGCTGCCCAGGGGGGCAGATAACACAACCCCAGAAGCGCAGGATAAATTTTTGGCCGAAGGGGTGGACTGTGACCAATGTGGCAAGACTCCATCTCTACAAAAAATACAAAAATCAGCTGGGAGTGATGGTGCACGTCTGCAGTTTCAGCTGCCCAGGAGGCTAAGGTGGGAGGATCACCTGAGCCTGGGTGATTGAGGCTTCAGTGAGACATGATGATGCCACTGTACTCCAGCCTAGATGACAGAGTGAGACCCTGTCTCAGAAAAAAATTAATATTCAAAGACACATCATATTCTCAAATGCCAGTAACGAATATTTCGAAATAACTTCTAAGGTATTTATCATATAAACAAAAACTAAAAGATACCAAGGATAAATGTAATAAATATGTGGAGTGTGGAGGTGTTTGTGAAGAATATTCTAAAACTTTACTAATAAAAAGAAAAAAAGCCCTAATAAAAGTATTGATGTACTGCTATATTCTTTGATAGAAATTTCAGAATTTAGAAGTGGCAATTCCCTCAAAATTATAAACTCAATGGAATGTTAATCAAATCCCCAAAGAATTTGACAAGCTGAAACTAAAATTCTCTTTTTTTGGGACAAGGTCTTGTTGTGTTGCCTAGGCTGGTCTCAAACTCCTGGCTCAAGTAGCTGGGATTACGGGTGCATTTACAGATGCATGCCACAGTGCCTAGCTTAAAATTCACTTTTAAGTACACAGTCAAGAAATTTCCAGGACAATTTTGAAAAAGAAAAAGGGAGTGGGGGTAGAAATTTACCTGGCCAGCAATCCAGACTTGCCCTAACATCCATCAAAACTATACAACCATAGTGATTATAATAGTGGATCATTACTATTCAGAAGAACCCATATATGATGGTTTACGGTAGAAATGGTATTACATTCTTTCCTAAATAAGTGAGAAAAGAATGAACTATTTGATAAGCACTGCTGGGGCAATTGGTGATGAAATGCAAACGTCTAACACAAGAAATATAGAAAACTATCATCATGCCACTGAGATAAGAAAAGACAAAAAGAATAAACCATAAAATAAATAAACATAAAATAAAAAACATAAAATAAAAAAATAAACCATAAAAAAAAAGACTGACGAATTGGGAGTATATTAAAATGAAACAACATTGTGTGATAAAGGATATAATAAACAAACTTTTATTTATTTTATTATTTTATTTATTTATTTATTTATTTATTTTTTGAGACGCAGTCTCGCTCTGTCGCCCAGGCTGGAATGCAGTGGCGCGATCTCAGCTCACTGCAAGCTCTGCCTCCCAGGTTCACATCATTCTCCTCCCTCAGCCTCCTGAGTAGCTGGGACTACAGGCGCCCGCCACCTCACCAATAAACAAACTTTTAAAAGGCAAGCTTTAGGCTTGTAGAAGATAGTTGTAATACATAAAACTAACAAAGAAATAATACAGTATTAATTTTATTATATACATATGTATATAAAATGTTTATGAATCGACAAAAAAGATGATCCAGTAGAAAACAGACTACAGGAATGCATAGGTAATTCACAGAAGAGGAAACTCAACTAGATAATAAACATAAAAATAATGTTCAACTTCACTAGTAATTTGGGAAATGAAACTCAAAACAATATGAAATCATTTAAGATCTATCACACTGGTAAATATTTGAAAGACTAATAACCCTTTAAGGACAGGGATAAATCAGAAATCTCAAAGTTGCTTATAGAATAGAGTCTGTTAATATTATACCTTAGGGCTTAGGAGACTAGAGTGGCTAACTCTGATGGATAAAAAATAGAAATAAAAATTGTTTCCTGGTGTAAAAATGTCATCTTCAGGTAGCAAGGGTAAAAGCAGCTCAAGGTGAAAGCCTTTGAATGTGATTTTCAAATCTTCCATCAGCTCTAGACAAAGTACTAACTTTTAAAGTGGTCAGTTTTTGCCCCTTTATTCTTCCAAAGGAAACTCTACCTATGAAGGAAAAGTTTCTTAAGATAAAATTTTACAGTGTAATAGTCATCTTAGATGAGCTCTATAAGTGACCATCCCAGACGTGATAGTAGAAATAGGTGATATCACAATAAAAGCACTTTATTCCTATAATTTAAATTTATGATTCTGTTTATAAAAGTAATACAAGAAGGCAGATCAAAAATATGCCCGATTCCTATTTCCACCTAAAATATACCTAGAATTTTTTCAATATTTTATATTTTATAAAGAAAAAACTTCACATGTATAGAGAATAAGAACAAGTGCCATCAGCATATCAGATATAACAAAGAAGTCCTAGAAAACAGAAGGCAGATGGAGGATGAACCCAGATGATCCAGCCTTCATCTGTCAAAGCTCCGTAAGAAATGATCACAAGGAATAGAGAAGGAAAAACAATCAAGAAAATAATGGAAGGCAAACTCCCATAGCTAGTCTTAAAACTGAAGGACTATGAAAGACGAGAATGGCGATCATTAAAAAGTCAGGAGACAACAGATGCTGGAGAGGATGTGGAGAAATAGGAATGCTTTTACACTGTTGGTGGGAGTGTAAATTAGCTCAACCATTGTGGAAGACAGTGTGGTGATTCCTCAAGGATCTAGAACCAGAAATACCATTTTACCCAGCCATCCCATTACTGGGTATATACCCAAAGGATTGTAAATCATTCTACTATAAAGACACATGCACATGTATGTTTATTGCAGCACTATTCATAACTGCAAAAATCCAAATGTCCATCAATGATAGAGTGGATAAAGAAAATGTGGCACATATACATCATGGAATACTATGTAGCCATAAAAAAGGATGAGTTAATGTCCTTTGCAGGGACATGGATGAAGCTGGAAACCATCATTCTCAGCAAACTAACACAGGAACAGAAAACCAAACACTGCATCTTCTCACTCATAAATGGATGTTGAACAATGAGAACACATGGACACAGGGAGGGGAATATCACACACAGAGGTCTGTTGGGGGTAGGAGGCTAGGGCAGGGATAGCATTCGGAGAAATACCTAATGTAGGCGATGGGTTGATGGGTGCAGCAAACTACCATAGCACAAGTATACTTATGTAACAAAACTGTACGTTCTGCACATGTACCCCAGAACTTAAAGTATAATAAAAATAAATAAATACATAAATAAATAAATAAGGAGTAACCCAGGGAGGATAAAATAAAAATAAATAAGTAAATAAAAATAGAAACTCATATTGCATTACTAAACTCAGCTATAAGCTATCTATCTAGGACATATCCAAAACAAAATGCTCAGAATAAAAATACAGAGATATTAAGCTGGGCGCAGAGGCTCACTCCCGTAATCCTAGCACCTTGGGAGGCCAAGATGGGCGGATCACAAGGTCTGGAGTTAGAGACCATCCTGGCCAACATGGTGAAACCCCGTCTCTACTAAAAATACAAAAAATGATCCAGGCGTGGTGGCACATGCCTGTAGTCCTAGCTACTCAAGAGGCTGAGGCAGGTGAATGGCTTGAACCTGGGAGGCAGAGGTTGCAGTGGGCCCAGATCGGGCCACTGCACTCCAGCCTGGCGACAGAGCGAGACTCCGTCTCAAAAAAAAAAAATGGAGATATTAACATATTTTTTAAAAGTAAATATCATAATTAATAATAATAAATCAGACCAATTAGAACTAAAGGTCAAATGTTATTTTAAAATGAGGATGTATATATAATTAGGATGTTTTATATGATGAAGCATATAGTCAAGATATATCTTGAAATTCTAGGGAGTCTAAAATAAAATCTGACAGAAATGCAAAAATAAGTCTACAATCACAGTAGGAGACTATAATATTCTTCTTTCAGTTCATGACCAGTCAAGTACACAAACATAAGTAAAATAGATATAAAGATCTGGAATAAAACAATTCACGTTTGACCTACTTGACATGCAGAAAAGGAATATAACACAATCTGCTTACTAAATTGTGCTGACCAGAATTTTAACAATGATCCTAGAGTTCATATAATTCTTACCCAATTTTATTTCTGAGATTGAGGGGCTGTCCAAATCAATCACACGTATCACTATTAGCCAAATATTATTAAAAATTCCACAGTCTGAGGCCTTAGTGACAGCACCTCTTGAAGATTAATAAACATCTCAGAGGAGAGGAAAGGCTTGACTTGGAAGGAATCATATAAAAACAGTGGCAGGTGGTAAAGCCAAACTTTGACATGGAAAATTGGGATACAAATGCATTAAGAGTAGGAAGTATAGCACATATCCTGTCTTTATTACTAAGTTTAAGAGGTAGAAGCATAAAATGGTATGACCTTTTAAAGTCAGTGACTCATTGACAACTTTGACATTTGTAAGCACAGATCTGTTACAAGTCATTCATTTTCTTTCCCTTACTACTGCGTGCACAAATAACTGTATTCTCTTGCTCAGCAAATTTGAGTTAGCCAAAAATTGAATTAAAGTGATAGTGATCCAAGTTGCAAAATAATTTCTAAAAAAAAAAAAAGCCTAACTTGACCCATAAAATCCTTGTAAGAGAACAAAAAACAAAAAAATTTAAAAATTAAAATGAAAATAGAACTAGCTATGTTGAAGTTGCTGGTCTTTCTTGTTTGGCCACAATAATTTATCTTCCAAAATTGTCCTTTTCTCAATTATAAGGGTGTTTTAAGTCCTACCTAAACATTTCCTGAAAGAAAAGATGATGGTGACTCTAAAAGATGTCACACAGTTATCAAAATATTCATGGCACCAAATATTGTCCCAACAAACTTACATATCTTCATGCCAACACTATTAGTGTTAAGACATTTTAGTAAGGGAAGGGCAAAGAAATTTTAGATATTAGGGAAGACTGTCAAGTATCAACAAGCAATAACATAACCTATAACCCAGAATGTATTTATAGTAATGGATATAGCACATAATACTTATTTTAAAAGATTTTTTAAAATTATGCAACATAATATGAGAAGTTACTACATAAGTTTCCTGGGGCTGCTGTAACAAAACACCACAAAATGGGTGGCTTAAACAATAGAAATAGATTCTCTCCCATTTCTGGAAGCTAGGACTGCAGGATCAACATGTCAGCAGGGTTGGTTTCTTCCGAGGACAGTGAGAAAGAATCTGTTCCATCCCTCTCTCCTAGCTACTGGTGGTTTGCTGGCAATGTTTGGTGGCCCTTGGCTTACAGGCACATCACTCTAATCTCTGCTTTCATGTTCACATGTTGTTTTCCTATGTATATGTTTACCTACGTCCAAATTTCCCCTTTTTATAAGAACACCAGTCATAGTAGATTAGGGCCCAATTTAATGACCTCATTTTAACTTGATTAGCTTTATAAAGGCCCTACCTCCAAATAAGGTTACATTCTGAGGTACTAGAGGCTACGGCTCCAACATATCCTTTTTCTGGGGAACACAATTCAACCCATAACAATTACCTTAAGGTTAGTAGCAAATACAACATTATAGCATAATCACACAATGACCTTTGACCTTTGGCAGTGGGAAACAGTGACAATCAGTAACTATTTGTGGTTTACTAATTCCAGTGGATCATACCCTATAATCTGACTTCTTTCCTGGCTTTCAATGCATCTATAATTGTGTTCCAAGTAATACACACAACCTATTTCCAAACAGGTGTCCCGTTCCTGATAAGCCTGGAGGAGAGACCATTTCCCATGGCCTCCTCATCACACATGTGTGCACATGCACACACACACACAAACAGCAAGCCTAGTTGGTAGCCTGTTGTCTGGACCAAAATAATCTCTCTAAAAAATAAAAAAGTGTGGGGTTGGGATTCTGTGGGAAAATAGTTTTTGTGAATTTAAGAAACAAAGATTAAACTGTCTTACCCAAAAATCAATTGACATGGCAACAGAGCAGTTCAGAATAAACTAAATATGAAAATAAACAAATTTCAAAATATGTCATTTTATAGTACAACAGTATAGTAAGGGATCATTATTTATGGAAAATATATTCTATACTCAAAACAATTATCTTAATAATTATTCTATAAATATTTTAAAAGCTAAAATAGTTTTGTACTTATTTCTAAACTATGCAAGTCTTTTACTTTCTTTTAACTGTACATGCAAATAGAACGATTTGCAACTCCTAGAATTATCTTGTGTTAAAATGTTATTGCATCTGTTTCAATAGGGTCACTGGAGCATAATATTTCCCCAAAAGCTATCCCCACTCAAGGCAATGGGAATTAATGATATGGAGTCTAGCTGAAACAATCAGTGTAGTCTCTGGAGAGAATTTCAGAAAGGTGATGTGAAGATTCTACTGCACCCTCATCCCAGGAAGATAACCATTTAACTAGTTAAAGTTACTAAAAATAGAACACACACAGATTTAAACTCTCTGAAAATTGTCCTAAGGGCACACAGAAAATGAAAAAAAAAAAACTTTTATTTAGGAAATTCTCCTAAATCTCAGTAAGAACAGTGAAAGTCTGTGGCAGCTGATCCCATACACCCCCAGCTTTATGCGATAGATAACCCGGGTGCTCTAATCCAGGTGGGTATGGCAAAAAAACAACAACAACAACAAAAAAAAAAAAAACAGTCCTCACCAGCTCTGCCAAGCTCCTAGGACTATCATTTCATCCTGCCAGCATCTCTTCTCCCCATCCCCATTCCTGTGTATAGAAGCACAATTCTTGGGGGAATGGCTGAAAAGATTGGGACTCCCTTCCCCCACTCAGCTACCACTCACAGGGCAAGGGCTCTACTCCAAGCATCACAGGCTGGTAATACTAGCACCACTCCTTCCCCTTCCCCACCTCACAAGGACAAGCCAAGGAAATCAGGGGCTGCCACCAGTGCCCACTCGTATAGCAAGGATGTCACTTGGGAGAAGCAAGTCAATGTCCATACCTCCAGCTTCAGTTCAGTGGCACAAAGTCTCTGCTCAAGGGGGAAGGCAGGTTGTAAGAATGAAGAGCTCTGTATACACGTGCCATGCTGGTGCACTGCACCCATTAACTCGTCATCTAGCATTAGGTATATCTCCCAATGCTATCCCTCCCCCCTCCCCACCCCACAACAGTCCCCAGAGTGTGATGTTCCCCTTCCTGTGTCCATGTGATCTCATTGTTCAATTCCCACCTATGAGTGAGACTACGCGGTGTTTGGTTTTTTGTTTTTGCGATAGTTTACTGAGAATGATGATTTCCAATTTCATCCATGTCCCTACAAAGGACATGAACTCATCATTTTTTATGGCTGCATAGTATTCCATGGTGTATATGTGCCACATTTTCTTAATCCAGTCTAGCATTGTTGGACATTTGGGTTGGTTCCAAGTCTTTGCTATTGTGAATAGTGCCACAATAAACATACGTGTGCATGTGTCTTTATAGCAGCATGATTTATAGTCCTTTGGGTATATACCCAGTAATGGGATGGCTGGGTCAAATGGTATTTCTAGTTCTAGATCCCTGAGAAATCACCTAACCTGCACATTGTGTACATGTACCCTAAAACTTAAAGTATAATAATAAAAAAAAATAAAGTGTAGAGATTTCTAACATCTCAAAAAAAAAAAAAAAAGAATGAAGAGCTCTGAAGCTCTGACTGAGAGGAATGACTTTATTTGGAAAAAGCCTGGAGAAATTCATTCCTAAAGGCACTCCCAGGAACAATGGAGATTTTGGTGATTAACAGTTAAGGTGGGGAGCTCTGTGATATCAGTAGCAACAAATGAAATGGCAAATTAGCCAAAAATTTAACAGAGAGAACCAGGAAAAGAGACAGCCAAGAGCCTTTTTGGGATCGCACTCACCCCTGGAGATCCAGAAGTCTGTTCACATGTATTAGGCTGCACCCACTCAGTACTAATCGGAGTAGGATATGGGGAACACTTGAAAGAATTTCACAAACAACACACATAGATCCGTCAATATAATACAGAATCCTTACTTGCTCACAGGGCTTAAGTACAACTCTGATCAAACACTTACTGAACAATAAGTTATACCGACTTAGTGGTGACTCCTAGGAAATCAAACTGAAAAATATAATCACACTCATCCCTGGTGATTTGAAAAACTGTGCCTGCCAAAGGCTGTGCCCTCTCAGAAGCAACCACAGACAGAACCTCTAAGCTACTAGTCAATGGCTGAATGCAGGACCAAATTGTAAAGTACCTGCACTGTTTTAGTAGCCACACACATGTCTTTGGCTAGTGTTTTATAAAGAGACAAAGGCATCCCCTAAAGAGGCACACTAAAAGATAAAAACCAAACAAAAATCTGAACAGTAACATTAGAAACTTCATGCTGCAAAGAAAATATGCATCATAAAACTAGTCCAGAGAAGTCACCAAGCAAATAAATGACCAAAGAAACAACCAAAATAATTCTTAGAAAATAAAAGAGAGAGATAGTATCCAGAGTTGTCACAATACAGTATCTTAAATGTCCAATTTTTCAAGAAAAAATTATGGCACATGCAAAGAAAGAGAAAAAGTGTGACCAAACCAAAAAAATTGGAGGCAACAGAAACTGTCTTTGAAGGGCCCAGATATTGGACTTAGCAGGCAAATATTTCTAAAGCACCCATTATAAATATGTGAAAAGAACTAAAGGAAACCATGTTCAAATGATTTTTTAATGTATAATGACAGTGATTCATCAAATAGATAATACCAACAAACAGACAGAAATTATTTTTAATGGAAATTCTAGAGTTGAAAACTACTGAAATAAAAAATTAACTAGAGGGGCCCAAAAGTAAATTTAAGTTGAGAGATAAAATAATCTGTAAATTTGAAGACAGATTAATAGAAATTATACACTCTGGAAATATTATGACAGAAAAAAAAATGAAGGAAAATGAACAAAGCCTAAGAGAAATGTGGAATACCATTAAGCCCACCAACAAACGCACACTGGAAGAACCAGAAAGAGAGGAGAGAGAGAAAGAACAGAAAAAAATTCAAAGAAATATGGCTAAAAACTTATCAAATTTGATGAAAAACACAAATTTCCACAACCAAGATAGTCAACAAACTCCAAGCAGGATAAACACAAAAATATCCACCCTCAGACATATCATAGCAAAACGTTAAAAGACAAAAACAAAGAGAAAGTCTTAAAAATCACAAGAGAAAAATGACTCATTACATTCAAGGAGGTCACAGTGAGATTAACAGCTGACTTTGCATCATAAACAATTAGGACAGAAGGCAGTGGAATGATGCAAAGTACTGAAATTAAAAATAATCTGTCAATCAAGAATCCTATATCCAGTAAAACTATTTTTTAAAAATGAAGGTGAAATAAAAGCTGTGTCATACACAAAAACTAAGAGAGTTTGTTGCTAGCAGACCTGAATTACAAGAAATGCTTAAGAAAGATCTTCAGACTGACTCATAGAAGGTGTACAATAAATACTTGGAAAATAAAATAATGAATTACTATTAACTTTCTTTATATGACTAGTATATAAAATGTTATTTAAATTTTATGAATATGGTGAAATTAGCTATTTAAAGTGATTATTTCATTAAGTCTTTCTTGGTAGCAAATTAATGTTCTGACTGTAAAATTTATGTTTTAAACAGCAGTCATTTTTGAGACTTTACTTCTTGATGGTACACTCACTTTTATGATTTGAACTGCATCCCCCTAAAATTCATATGTTGTAATCCCAACCCCCCAGTACCTCAGAATGTAACCATATTTGAAGATAGTCTTTTTAAAAGTGGTTAAGTTAAAATGAGGCCTTTAGGGTGGGGTCCCTAATATGATATGACTGATGTCCTTTTAAGAGGAAGAGACACCAGGGAAGCACATGAGGAAAGGCCACGTGAGGACACCATAAGAAGGCAGCCAACTGCAAGCTAAGGAGACAGGCCTCAGGAAAACTAAACCTGGCAACACCTTGATCTTGGACTTTTAGCCTCCAGAACTATGAGAAAATTAATTTCTGTTGTTTATGCCACCCAGCCTCTAGTATTTTCTTACAGCAGGTCTAGAAAACTATACACCCACAAATCCAATGTTGAGGACAGCTGTTCTAATTTTTCTAAATTAGGAGCTTAAAAATGTTCAGCATACTAAAAATCTAGAGTTCCTTATTCAAAGTATTTTACCATTGAATCAGGTCCTTTGATTTGCTGGAAGTTATCAGATGTTATAAATGAACCTCTACAACCTACATATGCAAAGTTCATACTAAATAAACAATAAAATGAATAACATTTTAAGCTGACATTTATCACTCTAAAAATTACAATTTGGGTAATTTTAGTACTTAGCATTATTATCAAAGGCATTTTGAGTTAAATATGTTCATCCCTGAGGTAATCTAGGTCTCTAGTGTGAACCAAGAAGAAAATATTACTTGGCAGACAAACTGCTAAGGATGAATGGATACTATAGTCTGCTAGGGGTATATAGAACAATAGAACATAACAGTAATCAGCAGCAGCAGCAAAAATAGTTACATTAGGCTTATAATATACAAGGCACTCTTCTAAGCATATTTGACATATGAATAAATTTAATCATAACAACCATATACAGTTATTCCCATTTTAAGATGAGGCACAAAGAAATTTAGTAACTCACTCAAAGCCACATGACAAAAGTATGAAACCTAGGCTGCAAACTCCTGCATCTATGTTTCTAACCACTACACTACATGCCTCTCTCTTCTTGTTTTCCTCCTTTAAGCTCACATTTCTAAAATAAAGGTAAAACTTCAGGGAAAAATATATTGGATCCAACTATTTATTACTTTGAATCACCAGCTTTAAAATAATTTAATTTTCTTTCCTTTTTTTTTTTGAGACAGAGTCTAGCTCTGTCACCCAGGCTGGAGTGCAGTGGCGTGATCTTGGCTTACTGCAACCTCTGCCTCCCAAGTTCAAGTGATCCTCCTGCCTCAGCCTCCTGAGTAGCTGAGATTACAGGCATGTGCTACCATGCCTGGCTAATTTTTGTATTTTTAGTAGAGACAGGGTTTCACCATGTTGGCCAGGCTGGTCTCAAACTCCTGTAAGAATAATTCATCTGTCCCTGTGTTCCTTATAAACCTATAAAATATATTTATCAGTGATTAAAATTTTAGACTTCATCAATAACTGCCAAAATATATCAGGTAGTACTATAAAGTTATACAGATGATATATTCAGTGTGTAGTCCTCATTTTAAAATCTACAAAATTATTCTACAACTTCCTGATCGCTAATTGTAATTCTCTAGATGCACCCAGCCTTTTAATGGTATGTCTAACTTAAAAAAATAAAATCCCTAAAGACAGTACATTTGGGCCACTCCACTGCATTTGCTCATCAACATCTTTTGTGTTTTAAGTGAGCATTAGAAGAGAGATAGAACTGTCTGATTATCTCATATAGATAACAGTGCGTATAAAAGTAGGTCTATTGCTATAATTTTACCACATGCAGAATATAGCCATATTAAAAAGTTTTAACAGAAATTTTTAAAAATATATATATATATGTGCAGCTGTCCTACATATAACATGATAAAGCCAACATTGCATTATTCTAGAAAAGCTTTGAATACATCTTTCTATGATATAGTCTTCTGCCCTTAAGAGTGAACGCTTTCATTTGCTTGTGCGGTTGGCAGCCTCTAAGATAAGTCCCAATGATCCCCATGTCTTAGCACTAACATCCCTCTGTAATCCCCTCCCTTTGACTGTGGCCTGAACTACTGACTGACTTCTAATGAATAGAATATGGATTCCATTCAGCAGTAATGCAATGTCACTTCCAAGATTACATTATAAAGACTGTGGCTTCTGTCATGGGTTCTCACTCTTCCTCTCTCGCTCATTTTGAGGGAAACCGGCTGTATGATGAGGGCTGTCCTAGAGAGAGACTCAATTGGCAGGGAATTGAAAGAGGCCTCCAGCCAACAGCCAGTGAGGAACTGAGGCCCTCAATCCAAAAGCCTATGAGAACTGAATCCTGCCAACAATCACATGAGTGAGCTTGGCAGTGAGCCGGCAGCCTGGCCAACAGTTGGACTGAAATCTTACGAGAGGCCTCAAGCACCCACTAAACTGTGCCCAGATTCCCAACTTTCAGGATTGTAAGATAAGATTGAATTTGGAATTAATCTGTAACACACCAATAGATTACAAATATGTATAGTATACGATACTCAATGTTGCACATTTACACAGTGTGTTGTTACACATAAAGAACTAGGACTCAAAATGATTTATATTCCTAGTTCATCAACACCAAGGAGCGGGGAAGGAACCATGATATAGAGAAAACATGGATTTGGAAATCAAATGAATTTAACTTAGATTTTTCTGGCCCTGCCCCCTTAATAACAGTATAATTTTAGGAAAGTTACTTAATAATTTAGCTTCAAGCTTCAATGTTTTCATTTGTTAAATGCAAGTGTTTTAGCTTTTTCTGCAAGTATTTGTTCTACAGATTAGAAACAAAAAAATTTAAAGAACCCAGCACAGTATCTGACACTGGAGAAAAAAATTGTGGCAGGCCAATTCTCCCTGACAATCACACAGACACGCTTACATAGCACTCCAGTTACACAGACATATTTCCACAGCCCTGCCTTAACATTGAGCAAATAGTTAAACCTAGGGAAATCAGTGCCCAGACATCAAATCTAGAAACGAAACATATGGTCAGTAGGAGCCTTGCAGGGGCTTCTCCCTAACCTGAAACAAGCCAAAATAATAGAGACAGTCTTCCATTCCTAGTGCCAGGACCCTTCCCAGGTCGATGAAATCTGAGGCAAGTCAAGGTAACAGAAGCAGCCGTTTGAATAGACTCATTGGAGAGTCTAAGGCAGCTCTTCAGACCAAGCTGTAAAGGAGATAAAATAGAAATAATCACTCTGGTACCATAGTAGACAGGCCTTGAAGGTACTGGGGCTTAACTGGACTTAGCAAGCATTTTTTGCCTTTGACCTTCTAGTTGAAACAAAATTAGTTACCAGTAGACTTAGGCGAATGCTATACTGCATGTAGGCACATAACCCCAGCCTATATAAGCTCTAAGAAAATTGTAATACTTTGAGTTGGTCTTGTGGAATTATCTCTGGCCTTCTCCCTGTATCCGGTTACAGCAATAAATTCCCTTCTTTCCTAGTTGTCAGCTTCTCATTATTGGGCCTCGAGAAAACACAGCTGGACCCGGCTTGGTTTCAGGAACAAAAATGGCAGCTTTATTATTAGAAAATGAGTGCCAATATATATCCTTAAAAATCTACAGTTATTCCCACCTAATTCATGATAAGTCTGGAGCTAGCTGCTAGGCCGGAGCCTCTACTTCCAAGAAACTGAGAGGCAAATAGGAAAACAGAGGAGTAAATGAATAATTATAAAATAGTAGTCAGTTCTAAACAAAAAGCAAATACAAAGGTAACAAAAAAGAGGGAGAACACAATATATGCAAAGGTAATACAATAGAGGGTGACTGATTTTGCTGGGAGCATCAGAAGGCATCAAAGAGAAGGAATGCCTCAACAAGAGTGTGCTAGGGGAACAATGGAGGATGGAGTACATTACATCAGAGAAACAGGAAAAGGCAAAAAGGTTTTAAAGACAAGCAAGTATTCAGAAAACTACAAAAAGTGCAGTATTGCAGAATGTATGTGGGTTGAAGTGGTCAGTGAGAAAGATAGAAAAGAGCACTGGAGGTGTATCTTAGAGGTCCTCATGTTCCAAACTAAGTTTGGGTTTCATTCCACAATTGAGATGGAATTGCCGAAGTGTTTTAAGCAAATGCATTTTGCATTTTTGAATAAAAACTCTGGTACCAATGGAAAATGCAGATTGCCACTTGGACCTGGGAGGCAGAGGTTGCAGTGAGCCAAGATGGCGCCACTGCAATCCAGCCTGGGCAACAGAGCAAGACTCTATCTCAAAAAAAAAAAAAAAAGAGAGAAAGAAAGAAAATGTGGATTGAGATGGAAGAAGCTGAGCCCGGAAATTGTCATAGTTGTCATCAAAAGAGGTCATGTAAGTCTGAACTTGGGCAGTGGGAATGGAAAGAATGGAATGGATCCCAGAGATATTTGATATTTATGAGGCAGTTGATCACGGTGGGAGATGAGGCAGAAAGAGAAATTAAGGATGACCTGAAGGTCATTCTTTTCTCTAAAGGGAAAATAAAAATTGGCTCAGGAAGAAGAAAGTCACAAAAGTAAGAGGGGACAGCTAAAGAAGGAATGGGTTCTCTTCTTCCATCTCCAAAATAACTTTTACTTTTCCCCCAAAAATTACTGAAACAAATTTCTACATAGGCACTATAAATTGGATTATAAAGCTGTAAAGTCTAGAACATTAAAATAAAGTTAGATATTATTTTACTAAACTTTTACTTATTTTTAAATGAGCACAATTACATAAAACTACTCAGTCTTTTGCCCCTAGTTTTGCATATGCCTAAAGAAATCATAAAGGCTTCATTTTTCTTGAGCAATTATGAAACAGTTCTATTTTTAAATGGGAATAAAAATCTAATTTGAGAATATTTTCTTTTTTCAAATAGCAGTTGACCACATAATTATTTTTTAAAGTGATAATTGAGAATTCAATCACATTAGCCTTCTGGTAAACAATTTTCAGGCTTACAACACAACCACATCCCCACTGGATGTTCATAACATCTGAAAGAAGGCATCCCCCTCTTCAGTATCCACCTTCCTTCTAAGGAAACTTATGCCAAAGACCTGACTAGCTAAATGAAGGGAAGGAGAAATACTGCTATTCAAGTTACAGCTAAGAAATCCACTTTCATGTTAAGTGAGGCAAGAGGATGTTCTTACTAAAGTATCAAGGCAGTTCCCAATTATCAGCTTTAATCATCCCAGTGAAGAGCTAATATCAAAAAAAAAAAAAAAAGCTCTTAGAAATTCAGAAAGTCATTTCCTATATATTTTGTTAACTTCAGGATTCCGGAATCCAAATAGCTCTTTCTGCAACCCTAAAACAAAGCAGTCAACAAACTTGAGAAAAACAGTATGGTTAAAAATAATGAGAGCAATCTACCCTCCTCGTGGTTTCTGGTCAGAGAGCAATTGGAGAATAAAACAGAGTAAGTCTCATATTTTATTTAATCAGGGATAGACAGTATTGATTATGTAGTCACAAGTTAAGAGAAATAATATTTTAGTAATATTCCAGACACTGAAATCTGAAATTAATCAAATCAGATAGAAAAAACTTTGTAGCCTGAGACTTTGCTGAAGTTGCCTATCAGCTTAAGGAGATTTTGGGCTGAGACAATGGGGTTTTCTAGATATACAATCATGTCTTCTGCAAACTGGGACAATTTGACTTCCTCTTTTCCTAATTCAATACCCTTTACTTCCTTCTCCTGCCTGATTGCCCTGGCCAGAACTTCCAACACTACGTTGAATAGGAGTGGTGAGAGAGGGCATCCCTGTCTTGTGCCAGTTTTCAAAGGGAATGCTTCCAGTTTTTGCCCATTCAGTATGATATTGGCTGTGGGTTTGTCATAGATAGCTCTTATTATTTTGAGTTACATCCCATCAATACCTAATTTATTGAGAGTTTTTAGCATGAAGTGTTGTTGAATTTTGTCAAAGGCCTTTTCTGCATCTATTGAGATAATCATGTGGTTTTTGTTGTTGGTTCTGTTTATATGCTGGACCACGTTTATTGATTTGCGTATGTTGAACCAGCCTTGCATCCCAGGGATGAAGCCCACTTGATCATGGTGGATAAGCTTTTTGATGTCCTGCTGGATTCGGTTTATCTAGAAAACCTCATCGTCTCAGCCCAAAATCTCCTTAAGCTGATAGGCAACTTCAGCAAAGTCTCAAGATACAAAATCAATGTACAAAAATCACAAGCATTCTTATACACCAATAACAGACAAACAGAGAGCCAAATCATGAGTGAACTCCCATTCACAATTGCTTCAAAGAGAATAAAATACCTAGGAATCCAACTTACAAGAGACGAGAAGGACCTCTTCAAGGAAAACTACAAACCACTGCTCAATGAAATAAAAGAGGATACAAACAAATGGAGGAACATTCCATGCTCATGGGTAGGAAGAATCAATATCGTGAAAATGGCCAAACTGCCCAAGGTAATTTATAGATTCAATGCCATCCCCATCAAGCTACCAATGACTTTCTTCACAGAATTGGAAAAAACTACTTTAAAGTTCATATGGAACCAAAAAAGAGCCCACATTGCCAAGTCAATCCTAAGCCAAAAGAACAAAGCTGGAGGCACCATGCTACCTGACTTCAAACTATACTACAAGGCTACAGTAACCAAAACAGCATGGTACTGGTACCAAAACAGAGATATAGATCAATGGAACAGAACAGAGCCCTCAGAAATAATGCTGTATATCTACAACTATCTGATCTTTGACAAACCTGACAAAAACAAGAAATGGGGAAACGATTCCCTATTTAATAAATGGTGCTGGCAAAACTGGCTAGCCATATGTAGAAAGCTGAAACTGGATCCCTTCCTTACACCTTATACAAAAATTAATTCAAGATGGATTAAAGACTTAAACATTAGACCTAAAACCATAAAAATCCTAGAAGAAAACCTAGGCATTACCATTCAGGACATAGCCATGGGCAAGGACTTCATGACTATAACACCAAAAGCAATGGCAACAAAAGACAAAATTGACAAATGGGATCTAATTAAAACTAAAGAGCTTCTGCACAGCAAAAGAAACTACCATCAGAGTGAACAGGCAACCTACAAAATGGGAGAAAATTTTTGCAATCTACTCATCTGACAAAGGGCTAATATCCAGAATCTACAATGAACTCAAACAAATTTACAAGAAAAAAACAAACAACCCCAACAAAAAGTGGGTGAAGGATATGAACAGACATTTCTCCAAAGAAGACATTTATGCAGCCAAAAGACACATGAAAAAATGCTCATCATCACTGGCCATCAGAGAAATGCAAATCAAAACCACAACAAGATACCATCTCACACCAGTTAGAATGGCAGTCATTAAAAAGTCAGGAAACAACAGGTGCTGGAGAGGATGTGGAGAAATAGGAACACTTTTACGCTGTTGGTGGGACTGTAAACTAGTTCAACCATTGTGGAAGTCAGTGTGGCGATTCCTCAGGGATCTAGAACTAGAAATACCATTTGACCCAGCCATCCCATTACTGGGTATATACCCAAAGGATTATAAAACATGCTGCTATAAAGACACATGCACATGTATGTTTACTGCAGCACTATTCACAATAGCAAAGACTTGGAACCAATCCAAATGTCCAACAATGATAGACTGGATTAAGAAAATGTGGCACATATACACCATGGAATATTATGCAGCCATAAAAAAGGATGAGTTCATGTCCTTTGCAGGGACATGGATGAAGCTGGAAACCATCATTCTCAGCAAACTACCGCAAGGACAAAAAACCAAACACCACATGTTCTCACTCATAGGTGGGAATTGAACAATGAGAATACATGGACACAGGAAGGGGAACATCACACACCAGGGCCTGCTGCGGGGTGAGGGGAGGGAGGATGGATAGCATTAGGAGATATACCTAATGTTAAATGACGAGTTAATGGGTGCAGCACACCAACATGGCACATGTATACATACATATGTAACAAACTTGCAGGTTGTGCACATGTACCCTAAAACTTAAAGTATAATAAATATAAAAAAAAAGAAAACACTTTGTAGCCAAGCAGAAATACTTTGAAATATTCTCCCATCTCTCTTCACTATTTTGAATGTAACCATTTTAAAGCAGAAAAGTCTAAACTCCTAGATGTATCCTTTGAGGTGCTTTTCTGATCTTGCTTCGTGAATGGTGACATAACTTTTTCAGTATAGCTTCAGTGTTTGATGACGTCCCTCCTTCCTCCCCTATCCCTTTTCAACATTTTACGGCCCTGAAAAGACCTAGATTCTGCTCAGGCTTGTTAATGTTAGACAGCATGTGATCCTCAGCATACATTTTGTTTCACTGCCTGACATCCAAGCATGCTTCCTAACAATTCATCCGTTTTCTTTAAGTAAGTCTTTCCCTTTCACAGGGTACATTCCTGGTGGAACTGTACTCAAGATATCCGGCCCCCAACCCTTGAAAGGAATCTATCAAATCCTAAAGAGTCTTTCTGAGAGATAGAGTCTTCCTCTACCTATCCTCTCGTTCCTCCTATGGCTGTAGGTGGAACCTATCGAGCTCCCCACCCTATGACTTAAATCGACCATAAATTTACTACAGTGATAGCACCCTGTTTCTGAGCCTGGTTCTCTAAACTTTCCATCCATTCCAGGGACTCTGAGACCCATCCTCCATCCCCCACCAAAAAATAATTCCTTTTGCTTATCTAAAATTGGTTTATTCTACTTGCAACTCAAAAACAATGATACAGTCATAACATTAGAAATGCTGTTTATGGGCCGGGTGTGACGGCTCACACCTGTAATCCCAACACTTTGGGAGGCCAAGGTGGGCAGATCACTTGAGGTCAGGAGTCAAGATGAACCTGGCCAACATGGTGAAACCCCATCTCTATTTTTAAAAAATACAAAAATTAGCCAGGCATAGTGGCACACACCTCTAATCCCAACTACTCAGGAGGCTGGAGGCATGAGAATCTCTTGAATCTGGCAGACTGAGGTTGCAGTGAGCTGAGATCATGCCACTGCACTCCAGCCTGGGTGACACTGCACTCCAGCCTTTTGTGACATCTGTCACAAAAAAAAAAAAAAAGAAAAGAAATGCTGTTTATGGTTTTTCTACCTTTAGAGTCAAACTAAAACGAAACCCAAAACACACAATTTTGGTCATAGAAAAGACTAAATTTAATGGTAGTAACTTGGAATACATGGAAGGTGGTATTGCAGGACATTATTAGCATGCTTCCAAAGATCCCTGTAAAATGTGGCTTCTTTAACAGCAAATGATACAAGCAGATTGAAGAGGATCAGGAAATCTGATGATGCTGGTAGTTGCCAATTAATGGAGCTGTTGCTTCTTATCTTCCCAACATTAAATTAAACTTCACTAAGTCTCTTGACATCAGATAAATTATCTCTGAGCTGCCTAAGCAGAGTTTCTATACTTAATTTCCTTAGCCTATTTTAGCCTTTTCCTGGCAGGTTTTACTTGTCTTCCCTGATCATCTCAGGTGATGGTTTCAAGGCAGAGTAGATCATCGCTGAAAGGCTCCGCTGAGTTTTATCAACTAGCAAATAAAGCATGCATCCTGTTTCAATTACCTCATATTGCTTATGGACTTTTACCTAATAAGAATTCACTCTGAGCAGGTGCATTGCATTTTTATTACACAATCGTTTCATCAATTGTACAACTGCATGTCCCCAGATGCCCTAAATATGAGCCAGGTTTCTCTCACCAGCAGTCTCACTCCAGGTGAAAGGTAGCAACTGGGAAGAAGGAAGAGTAGAATTGCTAATATCCTGTCACATTAACAGGAATCACAACACTGACGTAAGTTTGAAAGTACAATAAATAGAAGCAGAAAAGGTTAAACAAATAAAATTAAACATTTGAAGAACTAAAATTAATATAACAGTTAAATAATGAGAAGGGAAATAAGGTAGAGATAAAGTAATTTTTTATAGTTAGGAATTTAAAGTTGTATTTGTTTTCCATTGCTGCATTACAAATTACTACAAACTTCAAACAACACAAACTTATTATCCAACAGTTTCTGTAAATCAGGTGTCCAGCTACGTGTTGTCTGGATCGTCTGCTCAGGATCTCACCAGGATAAAATCAAGCTGTCATCCAGGGATGCCTTCTCATCCTTGTGATCCTTTTCCAAACTCTCTGGTTGTTGGGAGAATTCGCTACCTTGCAGTTTTATGAGTGAAGTTCCTGTTATCTTGCTAGCTGTCAGCCAGAGATCACTCTTCACTCCTAAAGGCCATCCTCAGGTCCTAGCCACATGGCCCTCTTTGAAAACATGGCAGCTTCCTTTTTCAAGGCTGGTAGGAGAATCTTTTTCTGGAAAGGCTCAGTCACTTTTAAGGGTTTACCTGAATAAATCAGGCCATGCCTGGGATAATCTCTTTTGAATTAACTAAAAGTCTGCTGATTAGTAACCTAATCATTGGAGTGATAACCCATCATATTCACAGATCCATCTACCCTCAAGTCCAGAGGATAAGACAGGGCATGCACACCATAAGGAGGGAATCTTGGGGCTTAGAATTATTCTGTCTACTACAATAGTCATGATCTAAACTACACAATATTCAAACTTATATTTAGAATGTTTCACAACTAAAAATGTTAAAAGCTTTAACTAACTTTTACATGCTGGCGATTCTCCAATATATATTTATGGACCTGATCTCCTTGTTGCATTCCGCATACATATTCTCAACTCTTCCTGAATATCTCCAACTACTTATTCCACTAGCATCTGAAACTTAAAAAGTTCATATCTTAATTATTTGTTATCACCAAACCTCCTCCTTCTAATATTTCTTTTATCAGTTGATGGCAGGCCATTTATTCAGTCTCTTAAACTATAAACTCTGGAGTCATCTGTCACACCTGTTGATTCCTCACCTTTCATAGTGACCAAGACCTCATTCCTATATAACAGACTAGCTCCACATCTGGCACCATCACCACTGCCACACCTTGGCCAAACCTCATATCTCTTAACATATTTCCATCTTCCAATCTGCCCCCTACTAATCTATCCTCCAAGTTATTAAAAAGTCATCTTCCTAAAAACCAAATCTGATTATGCTGCTTCCTGTCTGAGAACTCTCCTTCTCACGAGTTTTCTCTAGGATAAAATCCAACCCAACTCTCACACTCATCTCCATTCACTCCTCATTCCTCTCCTGGTCCTCCTCTCTCACTTCTTTCCCATGCAAACACAATCTATCTTCTAGCCATACTGAATTTCTCACCATTTGACAAATAAGCCATGTTTTTTATAATTACTTAATTTTACACATGCAGTCCTCATGGTTTACAATGTTCTAGTTTCCTCCCTTTTCCTTCTCCCTCTTATCTTCTTGCACACTGCTCCTTCAACTGTGAACCTCTCATTATTTCATGAACACACCTGTCCTTTGACAATCCTGTGTCTTTTTATGTATTTTTCTCTCTAACATGGAATGCATTTATCAAATTCCTATTCATTTTTCAAGACCCAGCTCAAATGCTGCCTTCTCTAGGACAGATTTCCTCATCTCCTCACAAAGAATGCATTCCTTTCCCTCACCACATATAGTTCTTTATATGATTACCGTATTTTTCATTATGATTCAACTTATTATCTTCCCCACTCAACCAAGACTATCTTCAGAAAAAAGAATCTCTATTATTTACATCCATATTCTCAGTACTAAACACAACCCCTGGCACTTACTAGGCACTCAACAAATGTTTTACAAAACAAAATTAACTCACACATATATGGTCTCTCAATTATGCATATGATAACACTATAGTGTATACATAAATATGGATGTTTCCATACCCATACAGAAAATTAAAACTTGTCCTCACTTCACACCCTATGCAAAATCAATTCCAGATGAATTATAAAGCTGAATGTGAAAGTTTAAAATAAAGCTTCTAGAAGATAAATCTGCAAAACAATCTTATGACCTTGGAGTAAGCAAAGGTACTTAAATAGGACACAAATGTGCTAATCATGAAATAAAAGATTGATAAATTGAACTACTATAAAATTAAGAACTCTTGATAACCAAAAGACACAACTAATAAAATGAAAAGGCAAGTTACAGAGGGGGAAGATATTAGCAACACATATACCCAACAAAGAACTTGCATCAACTGGCTGGGCACGTGGGCTCACACCTGTAATCCCAGTACTTTGGGAGGCGAAGGTGGGCGGAGCACAAGGTCAGGAGATCGAGACCATCCTGGCTAACACGACGAAACCCTGTCTTTACTAAAAATACAAAAAAAAAAAAAATTAGCCGGGCGTGGTGGTGGGTGCCTGTAGTCCCAGCTACTCGGGAGGCTGAGGCAGGAGAATGGCATGAACCTGGGAGGCAGAGCTTGCAGTGAGCTGAGATCACGTCACTGCACTCCAGCCTGGGTGACCAAAAAAAAAAAAAAGAACTTGCATCAACTACAAATCAAGTTTTTTAAAAAAAGAAGAAGAAAACAGCCCAATAGAAAAAAAAGAGCAAATGACTCAACTGGCACTTCACAGAAGAAATCTAAATAATCTACATGGATATGAAAAAGTATTCAATCTCATCTGTCATCAGAGAAATGCAAATCAAGCTCAAAAATGTGATATCACCCACCTACCACTTTGGCTAAAATTAAAAAGACTGACAGTAAATATTTATGAGTTTACGGAGCAACAGGAATGCTCATACACTACTGGTGACACTTGAGAATGATACAATGTCTATGTAGCTGTTTGGCAGTACACACTAAAACTGTACACACTCATACCCTATGACCCAGCATGTTCACTTCTAAGTTTATAGTCACAGATATCCATAAAGATATATACCAGAGTATGAACAAAATGTTCATACAAGCACAATTTGTAATATCCTAAAACTGTAAACAAAAAATGTCATTCATCAAGAGAATGGATAAACAAAATATGGTATATTCATAAAACAGAATATTATACACCAATGAAAATGAATGTAGCAGTTAAAGTCAGAGGGGGCACAGTGGTTGAAAGGGAGCACAAGAAGAACTTCTTAGGGTACTACTAATATATTCCCAATCTGGGGGCTGTTTATATAGGTTCATACACTGTGAAGATTCATCAAACTGCACACTTAAGATTTTTTGCATTTTTCTGTATGTATATTATAATTCAATTAAAATTTTACTTAAAGTAAATGTCACTCCTCTAACATTCCTCAGTATTAATCATCTGTTAGTTGGATTGTAATTGCTATAATCAATAAGAAATAAGAAAAGACAATTTCTAAAAATAATCTCGCCATCGGGAGGCCTATAGGTGCATATGACATGCATATCTATGACTTAAAATTCTGACAATAAAAGTTGATGCTTATTTTGTACCAAAAAAACAAAAAACAAAAAAAAAGAAATTGAATAGCTTGATAGCATGTTGCTTTTCCTAGAATTAATTTTTGTACTGAGATCATAATCCCAGCATGTTAAAACATTTGAAAGTAGAATAATAGCCTACTACACTTGAATGTCCTTTTAACCCATTAATTTTCCAAGGGATAAAAGTCTGAAAAGCATCATTTTACAATGTGCATATAGCTAACTGGGCATAACTTTCAAGCACAGCTTTAAGCTTAGTTCAGTAAGTTACATCAAATCATTCTTTCCATTATTAAAAGGTTCCATTAGGAAGATTTCAAATGAAAATGTTGGCTGTTATTGCCAAAAATCAAATTACCCCTTATCTTTCCTTAGAAAGCTGTGTTAGGTTATTGTGATAGGCTGATGGTGGCCCCCAAAATATCAGGTCCTAATATCTAGAACTTATAAATGTTATCCATAAAGAAAAAAGGATCTTTGCATAAATGATTAAGGTTCTTGAGATGGAAAGCTTTTTCTGGATTACCCAGGTAGACTCTAAATGCAATTACAAGTGTACTTTTAAGAGGGAGAAAGAGAAATATTTGACTAGCAACAGAAAAAGAGGCAATGTAAAGACAGAGCAGAGAGAGATTTAAAGATGCAAGCCTTTTCTTATATGTTTCTTGGCCACTTGTATGCTCATCATCACTAATCATCAGAGAAATGCAAAGCAAAACCATCATGACACACCATCTCACCAGTCGGAATGGCTGTTATTAAAAAGTCAAAACATAACAGATAATGGCAAAGTTGTGGGGAAAAAAAGAATGCTTCTACACTGTTGTTAGGCATGCAAATTATTGTAGTTCAACAAATATGAAAAGCAATTTGGGGATCTCTCAAAGAACTTAAAACAAAGCCACCAGGCAACCCAGCAATCACATGACTGAGTATATACCCAAAGGAAAATAAATCATTCTAACAAAAGGATACATGCAATGGCATGTTTATCACCATGCTATTCACAATAGCAAAGACATGGACTCAACCTAGGTGTCCCCAGTAGAGGATTGCATAAAGAAAATGTGGTATATATACACCATAGAATACTATGCATCCATAAAAAAAGAATGAAATCACGTTCTTTGCAGCAACATGGATGCAGCTGGAGGCCATTATCCTAAGTAAATTAACATAGGAACAGAAAACCAAATGCCAAATGTTCTCACTTATAAGTAAGAGCTAAATGCTGGGTACTCATGGACATAAAGATGGCAAAAATAGACACTGTGGACTACTAGAGGGGTGAGGAAGGAAGGGGGACATGGGTTGAAAAACTACCTATTGGGTACTATGCTCACCATCTGGGTGACAGAATCCATACCCAAACCTCAGCATCACACAATACGTCCATATAATAATTTGTACATGTTCCCCTGTATCTAAAATAAAAGCTGAATTTTTAAAAAATAAATTTAAATTGTTGTGCTTTAGCATCTAACAAAAAAATTAAAGTGAAAAATTAAAAAAATAAAGATACTAACCTTCAAGATTGGAGTGATGTGCCCACAAGCCAAGGAATGCTAGCAGCCACCAAAAGATGGAAGAGGCAAGAAACAGATTTTTTCCTACAGCCTCCAGATAGAGACCAATACTTTCAATGCCTTGATTTTGTTTAATGATACTGATTTTGGACTTCTGAGCTCCCGAATTGACAGAATAAATTTCTGCTGTTCTAAGCCACCAAATTTGTGATCATTTGTTAGAACAGTCACAGGAAACTAGTACAATATAAGATATCGATTACATCTCCACTTAACAACAGAACTTGCTAAATATTGAAAATGTTGTGTCTGTTAATATTATTTCTTCAGATATTTTTAGTAAGTGCATTTTCCTAATTTCCAAATTGGCACAATGGCTTATGACATCTTGTGTAACAGAGAAGTCACAGCAATTGGCAACATATGACCAATACTAGAATATAACACTGTATGATGCATCACAGGTGCCTTAAAAAATAAAAGTTTGCTGTGTTGTTTCTGCTGTCAACTTATATCATCTTTTATTTGTTAAAGGTTGGGTTTCAATGCTCACTACTTAAAACTTCAAGTGGCTAAAGATGAAATGTAAGCCTTCTAACTCAGAAACTCAAATAAGAGTATTTAAATCATTTAATTCATTAAATATTCATTAATAAGTCAATGATGTCTTGATAATTAAGGATTATTTAACATTCAAATATATTAAAACATACTGAGATTTCAGAGGGTTCTGAAAAGAAATGTAAGCACCCTATAGCAATTCATTAATCCACTTACTATCATATAAATGCTTTAGCTAATTTTTTAAAGTTTTTTTTTTTTTAGCTTTTATTTTAGTTTCAGGAGTACATACACACGTTTGTTATATAGGTAAACTTGTGTCATGGGGGTTTGTTGAACATATTATTTCATCATCCAGGTACTAAGCCTAGTTATTTTTGCTGGTCTTCTCTCTTCCCACTCTCCACTCTCAATTAGGCCCCAGTGTCTCTTGTTCCTCTCTTTATGTCCATGAGTTCTCATCATTTAACTCCCTCTTATAAGTGAGAACTGCAGTATTTGGTTTTCTATTTCTGAATTAGTTTGCTAAGAATAATGGCCTCCAGCTCCATCCATGTTCCATAAAAGAAATGATCTTGTTCTTTTTTGTGGCTGCATAGTATTCCATAGTGAGTATGTACCACATTTTCTTTATCCAATTCTGTCATTGATGGGCATTTAGATTGATTCCATGTCTTTGTTATTGTGACTAGTGCTGCAATGAACATTAGCATGCATATGTCTTTATGGTAGAATGATCAACATTCCTCTGAGTATATACCCAGCATTGTTCATCAAGGATATTAAGTTGAAGTTTTCTTTTTCCATTGTGTCCCTGCCAGGTTTTGGTATCAGGATAATGCTGGCCTCACAGAATGAGTTGTGGAGGAGTCCCTCCTCTCAATTTTTTGGAATAGTTTTGGCAAAACTGGCACCAGGACCTCTCTGTAAATCTGGTAGAATTAAGCTGTGAATCTGTCTGGTCCTAGGCTGTTTTTTGTAAGTAGGCTATTTATTACTGATTCTATTTTGAAGCTTGTTATTGGTCTGTTCAGAGAATCTATTTCTTCCTGGTTCAGTCTTTGGAGGGTGTATGTACCCAGGAATATAGCCTTCTCTTCTAGGTTTCATAGTTTGTGTGTATATAGGTGTTTGTAGTAGTTTCTGATAGTTATCTTTATTTCTGTGGGGTCAGTGGTAATGTCCCCTTTGTCATTTCTAATTGTGTTTATTTGGATCTTCTCTCTTGTCTTCTTTATTAGTTTAGCTAGCAACCTATTTAGCTTATTAATTTTTGCAAAAAACAACTCAAATTTATTGATCTTTTGCATGATTTTTTCATGTCTCAATTTCCTTCATTTAAGCTCTGATTTGGGTTATTGCTTGTCTTCTGCTAGCTTTGGGGTTGGTTGGTCTTGCTTCTCTAATTCTTTCAGTTGTGATATTAGGTTACTAATTTGAGATCTTTCTTTTTGATGTGGCCATTTAGCGCTATGAATTACCCTTTTAACACACCCTTAGCTGTGTCACAGAGATTCTGGTATGTTGTATCTTTATTCTCATTAGTTTCAAAGAACCCCTCGACTTCTGCCTTAATTTCATTATTTACCCAAAAGTCACTGAGGAGCATATTGTTTAATTTCCATGTAATTGCATGATTTTGAGTGATTTTTTTAGTCTTCACATCTGTTTTTATTGTGCTGTGGTCCAAGAGTGTGTTTAGTATGATTTTGGTTGTTTTGTATTTGCTGAGGATTGTTTTATGTCCAATTATGTGGTCAATTTTAGAGTATATGCCATGTGGCAAGGAAAAATATTTATTTGTGATTCTTAGTTTCTTTGAATTGGGTTTTGCCATTCTCCTCAATCTCGATGATCTTCATTCTGTTCATATGTACATTCTGTTGTTTTTGGATGGAAAGTTCTCTAGAGGTCTATTAGTTTCATTTGGTCGAATGTTAAGTTCAGGCCCTAGATATATTTATTAATTTTCTGCCCCAATCATCTAATACTGTCAGTGGAGTACTGAAGTCTTTCACTATCATTGTGTGGGAGTCTAGGTCTCTTTGTAGGTAGATAATAACTTGCTTTATGAATCTGGGAGTTCCTGTGTTGGGTGCATCTATATTTAGGACAGTTAGGTCTACTTGTTTAATTAAACCCTTTACAATTATGTAATGCACTTCGTTGTCTTCTTTTTTATCTTTGTTGGTTTAAAGTTTGTTTTGTCTGAAATTAGGATTGCAACACCTGCTTTTTTCTGATTTCCATTTGCTTGGTAGATTTAACTCCATCCCTTTATTTTGAGCTTACGGGTGCCATTACATGTGAGATGGGTCTCTTAAAGACAACATACAATTGAGTCATGTTTTTTTTTTTTCAGCTTGCCACTCTGTGCCTTTTAAATGGGGCATTTAGCCTATTTACATTCAAGGTTAGTATTGATATGTGTGGATTTGATCATGACATTGTGTTGTTAGCTGTTTATTATGCTGGCTTGTTTGTGTGATTGCTTTATAGTGTAACTGGTCTGTGTACTTAATCACATTTTTGTATTGGCTGGGAACAGTGTTTCCTTTCTATATTTAGTGCTCCTTTCAAGATCTCTTGTAAGGCAGGTCTGGTTGTAACAAACTCCCTCAACATTTGCTTATATGAAAAGGATCTTATTTCTCCTTCACTTAGCAAACTTAGTTTGGCTGGATATGAAATTCTTGGTTAAAGATTTTTTTTCTTTAAGAATGTCGAATATAGGTCCCCAATCTCTTCTGGTATGTAGGGTTTCTGCTGAGAGATTTGCTGTTAGAGTGATGGGGTTCCCTTTATAGGTGACCTTCCCTTCCTCTCTAGCTGCCTTTAACATTCTTTCATTTCGACCTTGGAAAATCTGATGACTACGTGTCTTGGGGATAATCTTCTTATGTAGAATCTTCCAGGGGTTCTTTGTATTTCCTGAATTTGACTTTTGGCCTCTTTAGCAAGGTTAGGGAAGTTTTCATGGATGATAGCCTGAAACATGTTTTCCAAGTTGTCTGCTTTCTCCCTCTCCCTTTCTAGGATACCAATGATTTGTAGATTTGGCCTCCTTACATAATCCTATATTTCTCAGAGGTTTATTCATTCCTTTTCATTCTTTTTTCTTTATTTTTGTCTGACTGTCTTATTTAAGAGAGCCAGTCTTCAATTTCTGAGTTTCTTTCCTCAGCTTGGTCTATTTTGCTGTTAATCCCTGCAATTGCATTGTGAAATTCTTGTAATGTGTTTTTCAGCTCTATCAAATCAGTTAGGTTCTTTTTTATACCGGCTATTCCATATGTCAGATCCTGTATTATTTAATTGTGACTCTTAGTTTCCTTGAATTGGGTTTTGCCATTCTCCTGAATCTCAATGATCTTCATTCCTAGTCATATTCTGAATTCCATTTCTGTCATTTCAGCCAATTCAGCCTGGTTAAGAACCCTTGTTGGAGATCTAGTGTGGTCGTTTGAAGGACATAAGACACTCCGGTCATTTGAGTTACTGGAATTCTTGCATTCATTCTTTCTCACCTCTGTGTTTAGGTGTTCCTTTAACTACAGTGTAAATTGTTTACTTTCAATAGACTTATTTTCTGGATGTTTTCACAAGGCCATGGCTTCGTGCAGGGCCTTTATTTGTAGCTGACTTCTCATCTTTGGTTTCGCAGGGGTGTATGTCAGTAAGATATTTTTGGTGTTGAAGCTTTCGAATGTTATCCTGTAGGTGACACTTAGGTGTAGTGGTCAGTTGGTAAGTTCTTGTGGCTCCCCTATATTTCCTCACAGTTGCAACCATGCTCCCTGTCAAAGCTCTCAAAGTGTAGGCTCCTCGCCCACATGAATGTTGGCTGTACATTGCAGTTTAGCACTCCCAGGCTGCCCACTACAGCTTTGAGGTGATCTCATGGTTTATGTTTCCTCCCTAAGTAGGACAGAGAAAGGGACCTTAGTAATGGTTGTGGCCAAGGGCCTTTTGCTTGTCTCCTGGGGGCTCCACCCCAGAGAGATGCAGGTCAGCAATTTCACAGTGCAATCAGCCAAGGATAGAGAGTGTGTGCTCTGTGCCCAAGTTGTGGGTTCCCTGCTTGGTGATGAGCAGGGGGGATGGGCAGGACCCATGGGACACAGACTGGCCTCGTCTCCTTGGGTTGACTGCAGCTTGTTGGAAGTGTGGATAAGGCATTTATTTTCTTGCTCCTTTGTTAGTCTGAGAGTAGTAGGGGTAGTACCACATCAGAGGCAATGGCAGACAGGCTTTTAGTTGCCCCTGGGGGCTCCACCCCCAAGAAACACAGAGCAGCTATTACTGGGAGTGTTCAGTCTGTGGGGTGGCATGGCTGCACTGCTGGCATGAGCGTGGGGTTCCACTTACTGGGGAAAAAGGCAGTTGAAGGCTCACTAGGAGGAGAGATTGGTCTCTTCTCCACATGGTGACTGTGGTGTGCTGTAAACTTGGTATAGGCCTCAGGCTCTTTGTTTCTTCCCCAGGCTGAGGGAAGTAGGGATAGAACTGTTGCTGTGGCAGTGGCAGAGGGACAGCCATATGCCTCTTGGAGCCTCTCCCTAGGGAAACTCCAGGCCACTACCAGTGGGTACGCTCAGCCATGGGTGCGGTGATTGTTCTGCATTCATGAGCCAGGGGACCTGCCTGATGAAGAGTGTGGGTTGGGGGTTCCCAGGGAAAAGGAACTGGACTCTTCTCCGTATGGTGGCTATGACGTGCTGGAGGTGCCAGCATAATGACTAAGCCCTTTGTTTCTTCCCAGTCTGAGGGCTGTTAGGACTGTACCACTGCAACTGTAGTAATGGAGGGGTTGTGAATGGACTCTGGGATTTCCTCCTTGGAGAACTGCTGGGCTGCCTCTGATTGTGGTGATCAGGCAGGGGCAGGGTGATTGTCCCAGAGTCTCAAGCTGGGCAACCCTGCCCCGTGAGGAGAACTGAGGACCAAGATCTGCATGGACAATAGTCTGGCCACTTTTCTGTAAGATGGTTGCTCTGTGTGGGGGTCTGGACCAGCCTTTGGTCCCCATGACTCTCCAGAGCCTGAAGACAGCAAGGGCAAGGGCTGTGAGACAGCAAAAATGGCAACCCGCCCCTCCCACTGGGAGCTCTTGTCCAGGGAGTTGCAGAGCTGCCACTGGCTCCATAGCCCCAGTTGGCAGTGGCTGGAGACCCAGACCTGGAAGAACTACCCAGTGAGGAGATATGGAAGTGGGCACCCACATAACAATCTGGCCTCTTTTCCATAGGGCTGCTGCAGTATGCTGGGATCTGCTCCAGTCCCTAGTCACCTGGGATTTTTCGGTTCCTGAAGGTATCAATAGTGAAGGCTATGAAATACTAAAGATGGCGCCTGTCCCTCCTTCTGGGAGCTCCATCCCAGGGAGGTACAAACCTGTTGCCTTCCCAAACACACCTGCAATATGTGGCTGGAAAGCCTGGTAAGGAGATCCTGCCAAGTGAAGAGGAATGGGGCCAGGGACCTGTGTAAAAAAAAGCAGTCTGGCCATTTCTGTAGAGCAACTGTGCTGTGCTGGGGGTCCGCTCCAGCCTCTAGTTGCCTCAGACTCTCCAAAGCCCAAAGGCAAGAACTGCTAAGGCTGTGAAAGAGCAAAGATAGCAGTCCACCCCTTTTTCTGAGAGCTCCATCCCAGGGAGGTCTGAAGCTGCTGTCAGCCAGAAAACACCAGTGGGGGTGACTGGAGACCCCCATCTGGAGATAACGCTCAGTGAAGAGAAATAGGATTTGGGATGTGCGCAAATAAGCAGTCTGACTGCTCCTCCGTACAGCCGCTGGGCTGTGGTGGGAGACCCCTCCAGTCCTTAGTTGCCTCAGACTCCCTATATCCCTAAGGCAACAGTGCCTGAGGCTGTGAAAAAGCAAAGCAAAGATGGCAGCCTGCCCCTCCCTCTGAGTGTTACACATCAGGGAGGTGTAACACTGCTACTGGTGGCTGGCTAGAGTTCCAAGCCAGCGGGTCTTACCCTGTGAGATGCCATGGAAGTAGGACCTGCACACCACCGCTGCTCAGCCCCCTGGATTCAGCCTCTTTCCTAGGGATATGTACAGGAGTCTTAACTTCCCACTTTGCCGGAACTGCAGCTGCTTTTGCTGGGAAGCCTGGATATCTAAGGCTCCTCAGGCTCTGTGTGTGCCTGAGCAGCTGCTCTGCCAAGACTCCACCACATAGCTCTGCATGTCAGACTGAAGGTCCTGGTGGAGCGCATTCATGAGAAGATCTTCTGACCTGAGGGTTGCAAAGATCCATGGAAGAAGCATGGGTTCTCAGAGTTGCTCACTCACTCATTGTTTCCCTGGTGGGGAGAGTTTCCCCTGGCTCCATGTTGGTCCCAAGTGGGCAGTCATCCTGCCTTTGCTTTTCTCCATTCTCCATGGGACAAGTTGTTTCCTTGATTAGTCCCAATGCATGTACCTGGATGTTTCAGTTGAAGGTGCTGTATTTACTCGCCCCCTCCATTCCTCTCCATGAGAGCGGCACACATTAGCTCTGCTTGAGCTAATTTTAACACGGTGTATTCTCAGCGAATTATATGAGGTTAAATGATATGTCTCAATTCACCCAAAAGATAAATCTTTTGTTCTACCCACCTATCAGGAGCTAATATGTACAAAGCAATGTCCATATTAGTTGATATTGGGAGATGAGAGTGGACCACAGTAAACAAAATTTTTTCAGTGACTATTTCTGCTCCAGGGCAATAAGATATAGACCTACAGGGATAAAATGAATACATATAACTATTTTCCAAGATTCTTCTCTAAATGCTATAAAAGACTTACAGGTAAAGGGTTAGAGTTCAGAATAAAAAGGCATTTTTGTACAGCTAAGATCAAAAAAAGGAGGATATTTAAAAACCTTCGTGGAGAAGGTGAGCCTTGAATGATCTAACCCGCTAAGAACAGTCAAGTGGAGAGAACAGCAAGAGCGAAAGTACAGAAACAACAAGTGATTTGTTATTTGTCCAAGTTACTATACAGAGGTCACTTTGCCTGAAGCTTACAATGTGGGACATAATTTTGAATGAAAAAAATGATAGATTGGAAACAAATAGTAAAGGCCTTAAGTGCCAGGCTAAGACTATACTTTCTCTGTAAGCCATGAAAACCCAAAAGTTCTGAAGCGAAGAAGTGATAAAAATCAGGAAATTAATGTAACAAGGTATAATAAAGGAAGAGGCTACGGAGAGAAGGTGGGGAAAGGGGAATCAGGTTCTACCTCTGCCCCTAAATGAGTCATCTAAGGCAAATTTCTGCCTTCCCAAAGCTCCATATAATTAAAATATAATTTCCTCCCAGGACTGCTATGATTTTTTTTTAATCTAAAGAATGTAACAGTACTATATAAACAAAATAGATAAGTAAAAGATATAAAATGCAAAGTATGTGTTTATATTCCTAATCCAGACAAGAGTTTAAGAGGGCCTGAAGTAGCGTCTATCATTTTGGAATCTGAACCAAAGAACAGATACCAAAGATACTACACTAAGAGATCTCACAGATTCAGCAACTGCTGCAATGGGGATGGCTATGGAGGCAGCAAGATAAGGGCTAAGAGATCTTAAGTTTTGATGACAACAAGAATAGGGAAAAAAAGGAATAGGTTTATGGTTCACTGGCTTTTTTTCATTGATTCAAAACATAACAATCACTATATGCAGGCATCATTCTAGGTTTTGGGAGTACTGCAAAGAAATGCAGGCAAAGAGCCTTCTTCTGAAGCTTGTATTCTGTGGAGAGACACAGATAAATTTTTAAAATAAATATATGGTAGGTCAGGGAAGTTTTGTGGAAAAAAGTAACCAATCAGGCAGTGGGCATTAAAGAAAGAATTGTTCAATGACACTTATTAAAGCATGGTAAGGAAGACTTTATTCAGGACTACAGCAATCAATACAGGGACCACTGGATGCTGGAAACAGGCCCCAAGACTGGCCATAAACAAGATCTCTGCAGCACTGTGACCTGCTTGTGATGGCTATGATGCTCACGCTGGAGGTTGCTGGTTTAAGGGAATGAGGGTAAGGAACGCCTGGCCCACCCAGGGTGGAAAACCGCTCAAGGCATTCCTAAACCACAAACAAGAGTGATCTGTGCCTTAAGGACATGTCCCTGCTGCAGATAACAAGCCAGAGCCTGTCCCTTTGTTCTCTGTAAAGAATACTTTTAGTTAATCTAAAAACTGCAGAAATGATGTTTATCACGGGCTTACTGTCAATAAATAGGTGGGTCAAACTCTGTTTGAGGCTCTCAGCTCTGAAGGCTATTAGCCCCTTGATCCCACTTTGCACCCTATTTCTGTGTCTTTGTCTTTATTCCTCTAGCGCCACTGGGTTGGGGGCTCCATGACCGAGTTGGTCTCGGCAACTGGAGTTGAATTCTGCAGTGGGGTGAGATTGGGGTCAACTATGAATACAGCATGAGCACATGGAAATTTATAGCCAAGGAGCAGAGTGGGGGTCAGTGGATAGAAAATTACTAAGAGGAAACATCAATGAGATTTTGGTTAAGTTAACCTAACAGGATTCTTGCTGAAAGCAGGCCCAGGTGATCAGACATCATCTGGGGGATGGTGGCAGCTAAGGAGCCCAAACAGATATAGAGCGAGGGATAATTTTTTATATTTCCATTGAAAAAGAGTCTCTCCTTGACCAAATTTAGTCAGGCTCCTCTGAGTCATTTTCTTGTGAAGGTCTTCACTTTTGGGCTTCTGTGTTTGTCTTTGCACAGCTCGGTTTTAGCAAGAATTCTTTTAAGTCAGTTTAGCAAGAATCTCCCATCTTTGATATCTGATCATTCTTTGTATCTGATCAAATTCATCATCCTCCACTTGAGGATGCTGAATATATCCAATAAAAATTGAGAACAAGCTAAACACAGAAAGCTGGACTAAATAAATAATCTTTCAATGCAAAGACATAGACATATATGCACAAGAAACAACAGCAAACTATGACCTTCCCCCAAAAAAACAAACAAGAATTCAATTACTGACCCTAACAAGATAGTGATTTGTGAGCTCTCCAAGAATTCAAAATAGCAGTTTTAAGGAAACTCAGTGATATCCATTAGACAGAAAAGCAATTCAAAAATGTATCAGAAAATTTAACAAAGAGATTGAAATAATTTTGAAAAACAAAACAGAAATTATGGAACTGGTAAACACATTTGCTGAGCTGAAGAACTCATTAGAGGCTCTCAATGGCAGAATGAACCTAGCAAAGGAAAGAACCAGTGAACTTGAAACATTGCCTAATGAAAAATACGCAGTCAGAGGAGAGAAAATGTTTAAAAACGGAAAGGAATGACAATTACCCATAATAGATAGAAAATTATCTCAAAAGACCAAATCTAAGAAGTATTAATGTTCAACAGGGAGTTAAGCAAGACCCAAGGATAGAAAGCTTATTCAAATAAATAATAGCAGAAAATTTTCCAAAACTTGAAAAAGATGTAAATATCCAAGTTCAGGAAGGTCTGAGAACACTAAACAGATTAAATACAAATAAAAGTATCCTGAGGCTTATTACAATCAAACTTGCAAAGGTCAAGGACAAAGGAGGATCTTAAAAGCAGCAAGAGAAAATAAGTAAATAACATATTAAAAAGTTCCAATTTGTCTGGCAACAGACTTCTCAACAGAAACCATATAGGCCAGGAAGAAGTGGAATAACATTTTCAAACAACTGCCATCTAAGAATATTATTTCCAGCAAAATTATCCTTAAACTAAAAAGCAGAGGTAAAGTCTTTCCCAGACAAACAAAACCTGAGAGAATTCACCACCACCAGACCCATCTTACATAAAATGCAAAAGGAATTTTTTCCTTTTGGAAAAAAAAACCACTAATGTGCAAAAAGAAAACTTTTCAAGGTATGAAACTCACCGGTGAAATTAAGTAAAGAAACAAAACCAGAATACTCTGTTACTGTAATGCTGGTGGACAATCCATTCATAACTCTAGTATAAAGCCACAAAGACAAATCTATCAAAAATAAAAATAGCTACAGCAATCTGTTAAGAGATTGATAATATAAAAAGTGTAACTTGAGACAACTAAAAGTCAAAGTGGGTAGGGGGATAAAGTTAAAGAATAGAATTTTTGTGTGCTTGTTTACATTCTTATATTTTTGATCAAAGATATGTTGTCATCTCTTTAAAATAACTTGTTATTACTATAAGATGTTTTTTGAAAGACTCATGATAACCACAGCACAAAAACATACAATAGATTAACGAAAAAGAAAAAGCAGGCCAGGCACAGTGGCTCACACCTGTAATCCCAGCACAGTGGCTCACACCTGTAATCCCAGCACTTTGGGAAGCTGAGGCAGAGGGATCATGAGGTCAGGAGATCGAGACCATCTTAGCTAACACGGTGAAACCCCGTCTCTACTAAAAATACAAAAAATTAGCCGGGCGTGGTGGCAGGCGCCTGTAGTCCCAGCTACTTGGGAGGCTAAGGCAGGAGAATGGCGTGAACCCAGGAGGCAGAGCTTGCAGTGAGCGGAGATCACGCCACTGCATTCCAGCCTGGGTGACAGAGCAAGACTCCATCTCAAAAAAAAATAAGAAAAAGAAAAAATAAAAAAAAAAGAAAAAGCAATGAATTCAAACATATTACCACAGAAAATCACTTAGCAACAAAGGAAGACAGGAAGAAAAGAAGAAAGGAATGGCTGGGTGCGGTGGCTCACACCTGCAATCCCAGCAGGGAGGCTGAGGCGGGTGGATCACAAGGTCAAGAGATCGAGACCATCCTGGCCAACATGGTGAAACCCTGTCTCTACTAAAAATACAAAAATTAGCTGGGTGTGATGGCATGTGCCTGTAATCCCAGCTACTTGGGAGGCTGAGGCAGGAGAATCACTTGAACCCAGGAGGCAGAGGTTGCAGTGAGCTGAGATCCAGCCTGGCAACAGAGAGAGACTCCATCTAAAAAAACAAAAAAATAGAAGAAGAAGAGGAAGAGGAAGAAGAAGAAGAAGAGAAAAGAGGAGTCTCAAAACAACCAGAAAGCAAGTAACAAAATGGCAGTCATAAATCTTTCTTATCAATAATAACACTGAATGTAAATGGAATCAATTCTCCAATTCAAAAATAGAATGGTTGAATGGATAAAGAACCCAAACCCAATCATATGCTGCCTTCAAGAAACCCACTTCACCTAGAAAGATGCAAATAGACTGAAAATGAGCAGATGGAAAAAGATATTCCATTCAACTTAAAATGATAAATGAGGCTGGGTGCAGTGGCTCATGCCAGTAATCCCAGCACTTTTGGAGGCTGAGGTGGGAGGATCACAAGGTCAAGAGATCAAGACCATCCTGGCCAACATGGTGAAACCCTGTCTCTACTAAAAATACAAAAATTAGCTGGGCGTGGTGGCGTGTGCCTGTAGTCCCAGTTACTGGGGAGGCTGAGGCAGGAGAATCACTTGAACCCGGGAGGCAGAGGTTGCAGTCAGCCGAGATTGTGACACTGTACTCCAGCCTGGCGACAGCGCGAGACTCTGTTTCAAAAAAAAAAATTTTTTTAGTGATAAATGAGGAAGAGTAATTATACTTAAATAAAATAGATGAGTCAACTATTTTAGTAAAAAGAGACAAAAAAGTACTATAGAATGATAAAGTGGTCAACTCAACAAGAGTATATACCAATCATAAAAATCTACACACCCAATACTGGAATTCCCAAGTATATAAAGAAAACTTTAATAGATCTAAAAGGAGAGGCTGCAATACAATAACAGTAGGAGACTTTAACACCCCACTCTCAGTAATGGACAGATCATCCAGACAGAAAATCAACAAAGAAACAAAAAAATTAAACTACACACTAGATCTAATAGGCCTAATTAACATTTACAGAACATTTCACCCAACTGCTGCAGAAGACATAATGTTTTCATCAGGACATGGGACATGCTCCAGAATAGACCATATCTTAGGCCACAAAACAGGTCTGAACAAATTCAAAAAAATAGAAATATCAAATATCTTTTCTGACCAAAATGGGATAAAACTAAAAACCAATACCAAGAAGAACCTCAGAAAATGCACAAACACATGGAAATCAAGCAACATGCTTCTGAACAACCAATAGATCAATAAAGAAGTTAAGATAGTCTTGGAGAATTGAACCCTTTACCATTATGTAGTTCCCTTCTTTGTCTCTTATGATCTTTTTTGGATTAAAGTCTATTTTGTCAGAAACTAGGATTGAAACCCCTACTTTCTTCTGTTTTCCATTGGCCTTGTAGATTTTCCTTCACCCCTTTATTTTAAGCCTTGTCTTTAGCAAACTAACACAAGAACAGAAAACCAAATACCACATGTTCTCACTTCTAAATAGGAGCTAACTGATGAGAACACATGAACACATAGAGAGGAACAACACACACCAGAGGCCTTTTGGAAGGTGGCAGGTGGGAGGAGAGGGAGGATCAGAAAAAATAACAAATGGGTAATAGGCTTAATACCTGAATGATGAAATAATCTCTACAACAAACCCCATGGCACAAGTTTAACTACGTAACAAACCTGCACTTTTATGTCTGAACTTAAAATAGAAGTTACAAAAAGAAGTTAAGAAGGAAACTTTTAAATTTCTTGAAACAAATGAAAATGAAAAAAAATCACATACCAAAATCTATAGAATATGGGAAAAGCAGTATGAAGAGGGAATTTTATGTCAATAGATGCCTAGATCAAAAAAGTAGAATTACTTCAAATAAATAACTTAATAGTGCATATCAAGGAACTAAAAAAGCAGTAACAAACCAAATCCAAATTAGTAGAAGAAAGAATAAAAGTCAGCATAAAAATAAATAAAATTGAAACAAAGGAAATCACAGAAAATCAACACAATGAAAAGGTCTTTAAAAGATAAACAAAATTGAAAAACATTAAGCTAGGCTAAGAAAAAAAAGAGAAGCCCTTCAAAAACGAAGTCAAAGATGAAAAATGAGACATAACAACTCAGACCTCAGAAATACGAAGAATCATTAGAGACTATTATGAACAACTATGTGCCAACAAATTGGAAAATCTAGAAGAAATGAATACATTCCTAGAGAAATATAACTTACTAATATTGAAACATGAAGAAATAGAAAAATTTCAACAAAACAATAACAAGCAATGAGAACAAAGCCATAACAAAAAGTCTCCTATGAAAGAAAAGCCCAGTACCTGATGGCTTCATTGCTGATTTCTACCAAACATTTAAAGAACAACTAATACCAGTTTTACTCAAACTCTTCAAAAAAATTAAAGAGAAAGAAACACTTCCAAACCCATTGCATAAGGCCAGCATTACCCTGATACACAATTAGACAGGGACACAGCAAAAAATATATATAGGCCCGTATCACTGATGAACATCAATGCAAAAATCCTCAACAAAATACTAGCAAATAGAATGCAGTAATTCATGAAGGAGATCATTCACCATAATCAAGTGGGATTCATTCCAGCAATGCAAAGATGGTTTGTCATATGCAAGTCAATAAACATAATGCATGATATTAACAAAATCAAGAACAAAAAATATATAATTTTTCAATAGACACTGAAAAAGCATTCAATAAATTTCAAAATCCTTTATGATAAAAACTCTCAAAGTGGGTATAGATAGAACATACCTCAAATAATAATAGCCATATATAACAACCCCACAGCCAACATTGTGCTGAATGGGAAAAAAAAATTAAGTCTTTTCTCTAAGAACTGGAGCAAAATAAGGATGCCCAGCATCACCACTGTTATTCAACATAATACTGGAAGTCCTGGAGAGAACAATTAGGCAAGAGAATGAAATAAAGGGCATCTAAATTAGAAAGAAAAAATTCAAATTAACCTTGTTCATAAAAACATGAAAAACATAAAGATTCCATTAAAAAAACTGTTAGAGCTGATAAAGAAATTCAGTAAAGTTGCAGGACATGAAATCAATGTATTAAAATTAGTATCCTTTATAAATACCAACAATAAACAATCTGAAAAAGAAATCAAGAAATCAATCCCATTTACAACAGCCACAAAAAATATAAAATGCCTAGCAATCAATCTAACTAAAGAATTGAAAGATCTCTACAAGAAAAGCTATACAACTCTCATAAAGTAATTTAAGAGGATACCAAAAAAAGATATTCTATGTTCCTGAATTAAAAAAAACAAATATTCTTAAAATGAAAATACTACCCAAAGCAATTGACAGAACCAGTGTAATCTTTTTTTCTTTTTAAGTTCTGGGATACATGTGCAGAACATGCAGGTTTGTTACATAGGTATACATGTGCCATGGTGGTTTGCTGCACTCATCAACCCATCATCTACATTAGGTATTTCTCCTAATGCTATCCCTCCCCTTGCCCCCAACCCCCCGACAGGCCCCAGTGTGTGATGTTCCCCACTCTGTGTCCATCTCTTCTCATTGTTCAACTTCCACTTATTAGTGAGAACATGTGATGTTTGGTTTTCTGTTCCTGTGTTATGTTTGCTGAGAATGATGGTTTCTAGCTTCATCCATGTCCCTGCAAAGGACATGAACTCATCCTTTTTTATGGCTGCATAGTATTCCATGGTGTATACGTATCACACCTTCTTTATCCAGTCTATCATTGATGGGCATTGGGTTGATTCCATGTCTTTGCTATTGTGAATAGTACTGCAATAAACATACATGTGCATGTCTCTTCATAGAATGATTTATAATCCTTTGGGTATATCATAGGATCGTAAATAATCCTAAATATTTCTAGAACCACAAAAGACCCTGAAAAACCAAAGCAATCCTGAGCAAAAAGAAGAAACCTGGAGGCATCACACTACCTTATTTCAAAATTTACTACAAAGCTATATTAACCAAAACCACATGGTACTGACATAAAACACACACACACATAGACAAAATGAATGCAACAGAGAGCCCAGATGAAAATCCACACATTTACAGCCAACTCTACTTCAGCAAAGGCAAAAGCACCAAGAACAAAAAGTGGGAAGATGACATCTTTTTCAATAAATCATGCTGGCAAAACTAAATAACTATATGGAGAAAAGGAAACTAGACCACTATCTCTCACCATACACAAAATCAAACCAACATTGATTAAAGAGTTAAATCTAAGACCCAAAACTATGAAACTACTAGAAGAAAACATTGGGGAAACACTCCATGACATTTATCTGGGCAAACTTTTTTGTGTAAAATGTCAAAAGCATACTCAACCAAAACAAAAATAGACAAATGGAATTATATCAAGTTACAAAGCTTCCGGGGGAGGAGCCAAGATGGCCGAATAGGAACAGCTCCGGTCTACAGCTCCCAGCCTGAGTGACACAGAAGACGGGTGATTTCTGCATTTCCATCTGAGGTACCAGGTTCACCTCACTCGGGAGTGCCAGACAGTGGGCGCAGGTCAGTGGGTGCGCGCACCATGCGTGAGCCGAAGCAGGGTGAGGCATTGCCTTACTCGGGAAGCACAAGGGGTCAGGGAGTTCCCTTTCCTAATCAAAGAAAGGGGTGACGGACGGCACCTGGAGAATCGGGTCACTCCCACCTGAATACTGCACTTTTCCGACAGGCTTAAAAAACGGCGCACCATGAGATTATATCCCGCACCTCGCTCAGAGGGTTCTACCCCACAGAGTCTCGCTGATTGCTAGCACAGCAGTCTGAGATCAATCTGTAGGCTCCACCTCTGGGGGCAGGGCACAGACAAACAAAAAGACAGCAGTAACCTCTGCAGACTTAAATGTCCCTGTCTGACAGCTTTGAAGAGAGCAGTGGTTCTCCCAGCACGCAGCTGGAGATCTGAGAACGGGCAGACTGCCTCCTCAAGTGGGTCCCTGACCCCTGACCCCCGAGAAGCCTAACTGGGAGGCACTCTGCAGCAGGGGCACACTGACACCTCACACTGCAGCGTACTCCAACAGACCTGCAGCTGAGGGTCCTGTCTGTTAGAAGGAAAACTAACAAAGAGAAAGGACATCCACACCAAAAACCCATCTGTATATCACCATCATCAAAGACCAGAAGCAGATAAAACCACAAAGATGGGGAAAAAACAGAACAGAAAAACTGGAAACTCTAAAAATCAGAGCACCTCTCCTCCTCCAAAGGAATGCAGCTCCTCACCAGCAACGGAAAAAAGCTGGACGGAGAATGACTTTGACGAGCTGAGAGAAGAAGGCTTCAGCCGATCAAACTACTCTGAGCTACGGGAGGACATTCAAATCAAAGGCAAAGAAGTTGAAAACTTTGAAAAAAATTTAGAAGAATGTATAACTAGAATAACCAATACAGAGAAGTGCTTAAAGGAGCTGATGGAGCTGAAAACCAAGGCTCGAGAACTACGTGAAGAATGCAGAAGCCTCAGGAGCCAATGCAATCAACTGGAAGAAAGGGTATCAGCAATGGAAGATGAAATGAATGAAATGAAGCGAGAAGGAAAGTTTAGAGAAAAAAGAATAAAAAGAAACGAACAAAGCCTCCAAGAAATATGGGACTATGTGAAAAGACCAAATCTACGTCTGATTGGTGTACCTGAAAGTGATGTGGAGAATGGAACCAAGTTGGAAAACACTCTGCAGGATATTATCCAGGAGAATTTCCCCAATCTAGCAAGGCAGGCCAAAGTTCAGATTCAGGAAATACAGAGAACGCCACGAAGATACTCCTCGAGAAGAGCAACTCCAAGACACATAATTGTCAGATTCACCAAAGTTGAAATGAAGGAAAAAATGTTAAGGGCAGCCAGAGAGAAAGGTCGGGTTACCCTCAAAGGGAAGCCCATCAGACTAACAGCAGATCTCTCGGCAGAAACCCTACAAGCCAGAAGAGAGTGGGGGCCAATATTCAACCTTCTTAAAGAAAAGAATTATCAACCCAGAATTTCATATCCAGCCAAACTAAGCTTCATAAGTGAAGGAGAAATAAAACACTTTACAGACAAGCAAATGCTGAGAGATTTGTCACCACCAGGCCTGCCCGAAAAGAGCTCCTGAAGGAAGCAGTAAACATGGAAAGGAACAACCAGTACCAGCCGCTGCAAAATCATGCCAAAATGTAACGACCATCGAGACTAGGAAGAAACTGCATCAACTAACGAGCAAAATAACCAGCTAACATCATAATGACAGGATCAAACTCACACATAACACTATTAACTTTAAATGTAAATGGACTAAATGCTCCAATTAAAAGACACAGACTGGCAAATTGGATAAAGAGTCAAGACCCATCAGTGTGCTGTATTCAGGAAACCCATCTCACGTGCAGAGACACATATAGGCTCAAAATAAAAGGATGGAGGAAGATCTACCAAGCAAATGGAAAACAAAAAAAAGGCAGGGTTTGCAATCCTCGTCTCTGATAAAACAGACTTTAAACCAACAAAGATCAAAAGAGACAAAGAAGGCCATTACATAATGGTAAAGGGATCAATTCAACAAGAAGAGCTAACTATCCTAAATATATATGCACCCAATACAGGAGCACCCAGATTCATAAAGCAAGTCCTGAGTGACCTACAAAGAGACTTAGACTCCCACACATTAATAATGGGAGACTTTAACACCCCACTGTCAACATTAGACAGATCAACGAGACAAAAAGTCAACAAGGATACCCAGGAATTGAACTCAGCTCTGCACCAAGCGGACCTAATACACATCTACAGAACTCTCCACCCCAAATCAACAGAATATACATTTTTTTCAGCACCACACCACACCTATTCTAAAATTGACCACATACTTGGAAGTAAAGCTCTCCTCAGCAAATGTAAAAAAACAGAAATTATAACAAACTATCTCTCAGACCACAGTGCAATCAAACTAGAACTCAGGATTAACAATCTCACTCAAAACCGCTCAACTACATGGAAATTGAACAACCTGCTCCTGAATGACTACTGGGTACATAACGAAATGAAGGCAGAAATAAAGATGTTCTTTGAAACCAACGAGAACAAAGACACAACATACCAGAATCTCTGGGACGCATTCAAAGCAGTGTGTAGAGGGAAATTTATAGCACTAAATGCCCACAAGAGAAAGCAGGAAAGATCCAAAATTGACACCCTAACATCACAATTAAAAGAACTAGAAAAGCAAGAGCAAACATATTCAAAAGCTAGCAGAAGGCAAGAAATAACTAAAATCAGAGCAGAACTCAAGGAAATAGAGACACAAAAAAACCCTTCAAAAAATTAATGAATCCAGGAGCTGGTTTTTTGAAAGGATCAACAAAATTGATAGACCGCTAGCAAGACTAATAAAAAAAAAAGAGAGAAGAATCAAATAGACGCAATAAAAAATGATAAAGGGGATATCACCACTGATCCCACAGAAATACAAACTACCATCAGAGAATACTACAAACACCTCTGTGCAAATAAACTAGAAAATCTAGAAGAAATGGATAAATTCCTTGACACATACACTCTCCCAAGACTAAACCAGAAAGAAGTTGAATCGCTGAATAGACCAATAACAGGAGCTGAAATTGTGGCAATAATCAATAGCTTACCAGCCAAAAAGAGTCCAGGACCAAATGGATTCACAGCCGAATTCTACCAGAGATACAAGGAGGAACTGGTACCATTCCTTCTGAAACTATTCCAATCAATAGAAAAAGAGGGAATCCTCCCTAACTCATTTTATGAGGCCAGCATCATTCTGATACCAAAGCCGGGCAGGGTCACAACCAAAAAAGAGAATTTTAGACCAATATCCTTGATGAACATTGATGCAAAAATCCTCAATAAAATACTGGAAAACAGAATCCAGCAGCACATCAAAAAGCTTATCCACCATGATCAAGTGGGCTTCATCCCTGGGATGCAAGGCAGGTTCAATATACGCAAATCAATAAATGTAATCCAGCATATAAACAGAGCCAAAGACAAAAACCACATGATTATCTCAATACATGCAGAAAAGGCCTCTGACAAAATTCAACAACCTTCATGCTAAAAACTCTCAATAAATTAGGTATTGATGGGACATATTTCAAAATAATAAGAGCTATCTATGACAAACCCACAGCCAATATCATACTGAATGGGCAAAAACTGGAAGGATTCCCTTTGAAAACTGGCACAAGACAGGGATGCCCTCTCTCACCACTCCTATTCATAGTGTTGGAAGTTCTGGCCAGGGCAATTAGGCAGGAGAAGGAAATAAAGGGTATTAAATTAGGAAAAGAGGAAGTCAAATTGTCCCTGTTTGCAGATGACATGATTGTATATCTAGAAAACCCCACTGTCTCAGCCCAAAATCTCCTTAAGCTGATAAGCAACTTCAGCAAAGTCTCAGGATACAAAATCAATGTGCAAAATTCACAAGCATTCCTATACACCAACAAGAGACAAACAGAGAGCCAAATCATGAGTGAACTCCCATTCACAATTGCTTCAAAGAGAATAAAACACCTAGGAATCCAACTTACAAGGGATGTGAAGGTCCTCTTCAAGGAGAACTACAAACTGCTGCTCAAGGAAATAAAAGAGGATACAAACAAATGGAAGAACATTCCATGCTCATGGGTGGGAAGAATCAATATCGTGAAAATGGCCATACTGCCCAAGGTAACTTGCAGATTCAATGCCATCCCCATCAAGCTACCAATGACTTTCTTCACAGAATTGGAAAAAACTACTTTAAAGTTCATATGGAACTAAAAAAGAGCCCGCATCACCAAGTCAATCCTAAGCCAAAAGAACAAAGCTGGAGGCATCACACTACCTGACTTCAAACTATACTACAAGGCTACAGTAACCAAAAGAGCATGGTACTGGTACCAAAACAGAGATATAGATCAATGGAACAGAACAGAGCCCTCAGAAATAACACCGTGTATCTACAACTATCTGATCTTTGACAAACCTGAGAAAAGCAAGCAATGGGGAAAGGATTCCCTATTTAATAAATGGTGCTGGGAAAACTGGCTAGCCATATGTAGAAAGCTGAAACTGGATCCCTTCCTTACACCTTATGCAAAAATCAATTCAAGATGGATTAAAGACTTAAACGTTAGACCTAAAACCATAAAAACCCTAGAAGAAAACCTAGGCATTACCATTCAGGACATAGGCATGGGAAAGGACGTCATGTCTAAAACACCAAAAGCAATGGCAACAAAAGACAAAATTGACAAACGGGATCTAATTAAACTAAAGAGCTTCTGCACAGCAAAAGAAACTACCATCAGAGTGAACAGGCAACCTACAAAATGGGAGAAAATTTTTGCAACCTACTCATCTGACAAAGGGCTAATATCCAGAATCTACAATGAACTCAAACAAATTTACAAGAAAAAAACAAACAACCCCATCAAAAAGTGGGCAAAGGACATGAACAGACACTTCTCAAAAGAAGACATTTATGCAGCCAAAAAACACATGAAAAAATGCTCACCATCACTGGCCATCAGAGAAACGCAAATCAAAACCACAATGAGATACCATCTCACACCAGTTAGAATGGCAATCATTAAAAAGTCAGGAAACAACAGGTGCTGGAGAGGATGTGGAGAAATAGGAACACTTTTACACTGTTGGTGGGACTGTAAACTAGTTCAACCATTGTGGAAGTAAGTGTGGCGATTCCTCAGGGATCTAGAACTAGAAATACCATTTGACCCAGCCATCCCATTACTGGGTATATACCCAAAGGACTATAAATCATGCTGCTATAAAGACACATGCACACGTATGTTTATTGCGGCATTATTCACAATAGCAAAGACTTGGAACCAACCCAAATGTCCAACAATAATAGACTGGATTAAGAAAATGTGGCACATATACACCATGGAATACTATGCAGCCATAAAAAATGATGAGTTCATGTCCTTTGTAGGGACATGGATGAAATTGGAAATCATCATTCTCAGTAAACTATCGCAAAAACAAAAAACCAAACACCGCATATTCTCACTCATTGGTGGGAATTGAACAATGAGATCACATGGACACAGGAAGGGGAACATCACACTCTGGGGACTGTTGTGGGGTGGGGGGAGGGGGGAGGGATAGCATTGGGAGATATACCTAATGCTAGATGACGAGTTAGTGGGTGCAGCACACCAGCATGGCACATGTATACGTATGTTACTAACCTGCACAATGTGCACATGTACCCTAAAACTTAAAGTATAATAATAAAAAAATAAATAAATAAATAAATAAAAGTTACAAAGCTTCCATGCCACAAGGGTAAGAACAAGGTGAAGAGACGACACATAGAATGGAAAAAAAATTTGCAAACTATCTGTCTGGCAAAAGATTAATAACCAGAATATATAAGGATCTCAAACAACTCAACAGCAATTAAAAAAAACAAATAATCCAACCAAAAATGGGCAAAAGATCTGAATAGACAATTCTCAAAAGAAGACATGCAAATGGCCAACAGGTATATGAAAAAAGTGCCCAATATCACTAATCATCAGAGAAATGCAAATCAAAACCACAATGAGATATCATCTTACCCCGGTTAAAATGGCTTATATCAAAAAGACAGGCAATAACAGATGCTGGCAACAATGTGGAGAAAGAGGAACCCTCGTCCAACTGTTGGTAGGAATGTAAATTAGTACATCCATTATGGAGAACATTATGGAGGTTCCTCAAAAGACTAAAAATAGAACTACTATATGATCCAACAATTCTACTACTTGGAACATATCCAAAAGAAAGGAAATCAATATATCAAAGGGATATGTGCACTCCCATATTTGTTGCAGCATTATTCACAATACCCAAAATATGAAGTCAACCTAAGTGCCCATCAACATACAAATCGATAAAGAAAATGTGGTGTATATATACACAATGGAATGTTGTTTAGACATGAGAAATAATGAAATCCTGTCATCTGCAGTATCACGGATGGAACCATTATGTTAAGTGAAATAAGCCAAGAACAGAGAGACAAATATCCCATCTTCTCACTCATATGTAGGAGCTAAAGAAGTGGATCTCATAAAAACAGAGAGTAGAATGATCATTACCAGAGGTCAGAAAATGTAGGGGAGAGGAATAAGGGAAAATTTTATGTTTATATAAAGGTATTTATTTCCAATGAGCTATACACTTAAAAGTGGTAAAGATGGAAAATATTTTATGTGTAAAACAATTGATAGTTTTTATTTATTGTTTTTTATAATTTCAATTTTTACTTTAGATTGAGGAGGTACATGTGCTGGTTTGTTACGTGGGCATATTGCTTGATGCTGAAGTTTGTGATACAAATAATCCCATAACCCAGGTACTGAGCATGATACCTAACAGTTTTTCAATTCTTTCCCTTCTCCTTTCCTCCCTCATCTACTAGCCCCCAGTGTCTACTGTTGCCATCTTTATATCCATGAGTACCCAATATTTAGCTCTCACTTATAAGTGTGAACTTACAGTATTTGAATTTCTGTTCCTGCATAATTTGCCTAGGATAATGGCTCCTAGTTGCATCCATGTTGTTGCAAAGGATATGATTTCATTTTTATGGCTGTGTAGTATTCCACGGTGCATATGTACTACATTTTCTTTATCCAATCCACCATTGATGGGCACCTAGGTTGATTCCATATCTTTGCTATTGTAAATAATGCTGCAATGAATATGTGCATGCCCGTGTCTCTTTGGCAGAATTATTTGTTTTCTTTTGGATATATAGCCTGTGATAGGATTGCTGAGTCAGATGGTAGTTGTTTTAAATTCTTTGAGAAATCTCTAAACTGAATGGCCGAACTAATTTACATCCCCACCGGCAGTGTATAAGCATTCCTTTTTCTCTGCAGTCCCACCACCATGTTTGTTTGTTTGTTTGTTTTGACTAACAGCCATTCCAATTGGTGTAAAATGGTATCTCATGGTGCTTCTGATTTGCCTTTCTATGATGATTAATGATATTGAGCATCTTTTCATATGTTTGTTAGCCACTTGTATGCCTTCTTTTGAAAAGTATCTGTTCATGTCTTTTGCCTACTTTTTAATAGGGTTATTTGTCTTTATTGAATTGTTTTAGTTCCTCACAGATTCTGGATATTACACCTTTGTCAAATGTATAGTATGCAAATATTTTCTCCCATTCTGTAGGTTGTCTGTTTATTCTGTTGATAAGTTTATTTTATTGTGCAGAAGCTCTTCAGTTTAATTAGGTCCCATTTGTCAATTTTTGTTTTAATTGAGATTGCTTTTGCGGACTTAGTCGTAAATTCTTTCTCAGGCCGCCAATGTCCACAATGGTGTTTCCTAAGTTTTCTTCCAGGATTTTTTTTCTTTTTTGAGACAGAGTCTCACTCTGTCGCCCAGGCTGGAGTGCAGTGGCACGATCTCACTGCAAGCTCTGCCTCCCAGGTTCGCATGAACCTGAGGCATCCTCCTGCCTCAGCCTCCCAAGTAGCTGGAACCACAGGATCCCACCACCACACCCAGCTAATTTTTTGTATTTTTATTAGAGACTCTGCTAGGATTCTTATAGCTTTAGGTCTACATTTAAATCTTTAATCCATCTTGTATATGGTGAAAGGTAAAGGTCCAGTTTCACTCTTCAGCCTGTGGCTAGTCAGCTATCCCGCCATTTATTGAATAAGGATTTCTTTCCCCATTGCTTATTTTTGTTGGTTTTGTCGAAGATCTGGTGACTGTATAGGTGTGTGGCTTAATTTTGGATTCTCTATCCTGTTTCATTGGTCTGTGAGTCTGTCTTTGTACCAGTAATACGTTATTTTGGTTACTGTAGCCTTATAATATTGTAAAATTGGGTAATGTGATGTCCCCAGCTTTATTCTTTTGGTTTAGGATTGTTTTGGTGAATTGGGCTCTTTTTTGGTTCCATATGACTTTTAGAATCATTTTTTTCTAATTCTGTGAAAAATGACATTGGTAGTTTGATAGGGATAGCAGTGAATCTGTAGATTGCATTGGGCAGAATGGCCTTTTTTTACAGTATTGATTCTTCAAGTCCACGAACATGGAATGTTTTTCCACTTGTTTGCGTCATCTCTGGTTTTTTTCAACAGCGTTTTATAGTTCTCTTTGTAAAGATTTTTTCATTTCCTTAGTTAGATATATTTCTAGGTATTTTAATTTTTTTTCAGTTTTTGTAAATGTAATAACATTCTCAATTTGACTCTCAGCTTGAACATTATTGGTGTACATTCCATGCTCATGGGTAGGAAGAATCATTATTGTGAAAATGGCCATACTGCTCAAGGTAATTTATAGATTCAATGCCATCCCCATCAAGCTACCAATGACTTTCTTCACATAATTGGAAAAAACTACTTCAAAGTTCATATGGAACCAAAAAAGAGCCCGCATCACCAAGTCAATCCCAAGCCAAAAGAACAAAGCTGGAGGCGTCACACTACCTGACTTCAAACTATACTACAAGGCTACAGTAACCAAAACAGCATGGTACTGGTACCAAAACAGAGATATAGATCTATGGAACAGAACAGAGCCCTCAGAAATAACGCCGTGTATCTACAACTATCTGATCTTTGACAAACCTGACAAAAAGAAGAAATGGGGAAAGCATTCCCTATTTAATAAATGGTGCTGGGAAAACTGGCTAGCCATATGTAGAAAGCTGAAACTGGATCCCTTCCTTACACCTTATACAAAAATTAATTCAAGATGGATTAAAGACTTAAACGTTAGACTTAAAAACATAAAAACCCTAGAAGAAAACGTAGGCATTACCATTCAGGACATAGGCATGGGCAAGGACTTCATGTCTAAAACACCAAAAGCAATGGCGACAAAAGCCAAAATTGACAAATGGGATCTAATTAAACTAAAGAGCTTCTGCACAGCAAAAGAAACTACCATCAGAGTGAACAGGCAACCTACAAAATGGGAGAAAATTTTCGCAACCTACTCATCTGACAAAGGGCTAATATCCAGAATCTACAATGAACTCAAACAAATTTACAAGAAAAAAACAAACAACCCCATCAAAAAGTGGGCAAAGGACATGAACAGACACTTCTCAAAAGAAGACATTTATGCAGCCAAAAAACACATGAAAAAATGCTCACCATCACTGGCCATCAGAGAAATGCAAATCAAAACCACAATGAGATACCATCTCACACCAGTTAGAATGGCAATCATTAAAAAGTCAGGAAACAACAGGTGCTGGAGAGGATGTGGAGAAATAGGAACACTTTTACACTGTTGGTGGGACTGTAAACTAGTTCAACCATTGTGGAAGTAAGTGTGGCGATTCCTCAGGGATCTAGAACTAGAAATACCATTTGACCCAGCCATCCCATTACTGGGTATATACCCAAAGGACTACAAATCATGCTGCTATAAAGACACATGCACACGTATGTTTATTGCGGCACTATTCACAATAGCAAAGACTTGGAACCAACCCAAATGTCCAACAATGATAGACTGGATTAAGAAAATGTGGCACATATACACCATGGAATACTATGCAGCCATAAAAAATGATGAGTTCATGTCCTTTGTAGGGACATGGATGAAATCATCCATGGAAATCATCATTCTCAGTAAACTATCGCAAGAACAAAAAACCAAACACTGCATATTCTCACTCATAGATGGAAATTGAACAATGAGAACACATGGACACAGGAAGGGGAACATCACACTCTGGGGACTGTTGTGGGTTGGGGGGAGGGGGGTAGGGATAGCTTTAGGAGATATACCTAATGCTAAATGACGAGTTAATGGGTGCAGCACACCAGCAAGGCACATGTATACATATGTAACTAACCTGCACATTGTGCACATGTACCCTAAAACTTAAAGTATAATAATAATAAAATTTAAAAAAAACACATAAAAAAAAGAAAAAAAAAAGAAATACTACTGATTTTTGTACATTGATTTTGTATCCTGAAACTTTACTGAAGTTATTTGTCAGTTCCAGGAGCTTTTTGCTGGAGTCTTTAGGGTTTTCTAGGTATAAAATCATACTGTCAGCAAAGAGAGATAGTTTGACTTCTTCTTTTCCCATTTGGATGCCTTTTATTTCTTTCTCTTGCCTGATTTCTCTGGCTAGGACTTCCAAGTAAATTTTATATGTATATTTTATCGCAACTTAAAAAGTGTAAATTTAAAAAAATTTTTAATCTTTGTGGGTACATAGTAGATATAAATGTTTATAGGATACATGAGGTATTTTGATGTAGGCATACAGGATGTGATAATCACATCAGGAAAAATGGGTATCCATCACCTCACACATTTATCATTTATTTGTATTACAAACATTCCAATTATACTCTTTTAGTTATTTTTAAATGTATAACAAATTATTGTTGACTGTAGTCACTCTGTTATGCTACCAAATACTAGGTTTCATTCATTCTATCTAACTATATTTTTGAACCCATTAACTATCCCCGTGTGTCCCCACCTCCACCCACTACTCTTCCCAGCCTCTGGTAACCATCATTCTGCAAACTTTTTAAAAACACTTTAGACAACATTTTATTACTTAGCTTATATGACACACTGTGGCAACTATATAAGACACAGAAAAAATGCATAAATATCCAAATGAGTGCATTTGGAATTTTATACTGTGAACACTAACTTCCTGAAATAACTGTTTACATTACCCTAAGCCACTAATACTCAAGTTTCCTGATCTCAGGATCCCTTTATCATCTTCAAAATTATGGAAGATCCCAAGGAGATTTTGCTTATGTGCATCCTATCACTCATTATCACATTAGACATTAAAACTGAGAAAATATCTACATATGTATTCATTCATTTATTTAAAAATCATAATAAACTCAACATATTAACATAAGAGCCATAATGTCATCACTTTATGTAGTCTCTGGAGGTGAAAAGTGAAAAATTATTCTGAGTATTAATATGCAACATTTTTGACCTTGCAGACTTGCTGAAAAAGAGAACTACTTTGAGAACTGCGCTTAAAAACTTCTGCTAATTGATAGCAAAATTTGGATTTGTCTACTAAGTTAGTAAGAAAATGCAGTTTTCAGAAGAGAAAACTTGTCTAGGTAACCAATCTTAGTATTTTCAAAAATAATTCAGGCCCAAGGACCAAAACCAGTGCTATAACTTCCAATCTCAGTTCACAGATAAAACTAGCATTAGCACAACATGGGTACATTCACAGACAGTAGTAACATTTATGAAATGCAAATGACCATCAGCAATTAGTTAAGTGGGACAATGATTGGTTTTAAAAATCAATTGAATGATTTATGACTGTTGAATTCATTAGAGTTAATTACATATCAATATTGCAATTAACTTATAAAAGTGATAAACTATGCTTCTGTTTATTTTGTGTAGTTTAAAATATCTTCTATATGCTAAAATTCCTGGGGATAGTTAAATAAGCACTGGGGCCAGATCTGGCAAAATAGCTAATTAAGAATATTTACACAGTATTTGTGCATGTGTATATGTATGTGTGTGGCAAATATATATTTATTTTTGCATCTATAAATATGCATATATATTCACAAATTTCCCAGTCTTCTCAATTTGCCATATTAATTTCATTTTTAACCAGAATCAAAATATGAACACTGTTCCACATCAATGAACAAAATTATGAATATTTTAAATAATTTTTGATGTCTATATAGTGAACATTTTGTTGTCCTCCATCAATCCCCCCAACCCCATACTCAAACAGTTCCCTACAGGGTCTCAATTTATACAATCTGAATGGACATCAAATTGATTAAAAAAGAAAGTTGATTAACAACCCCAAAAAGTGCCCATTCTAAAACTAGACTATAAACATCTCAAGAGTAGAGATTTTGTCTATTTTCTTAAGTACTGAAACCCAGGCACTAGTATAGAGTCTAACAAATAATAGGTATGTAATAAACATCAGTAGGATAAATGAACAGACACATAAAGGTAAGTAACTACCTTAATGACATGTGTAACCAAAATTTACCAATGTGAGTTACTGTTCCACATTTTCGGATTGAGACAACAGTGTTTGGGTTTAACAGTTTGCAAAGCTAGGTGTTTTAAGATCAAATATAGCAAACTATTTCCTATAAATAAGAGCCATTTCCTTAAGTATAGATTCTCAATACTCTGAAACACAGAAAGTCACTAAAGTTATTCCTCTCCTTTTTGGGAGGATATAAAATTGTTTAATTTTAATACAATTGCCAAATAAAATATCTGTGATGGTTACTTTTGTGTGTCAACTTGACTAGGCTAAGGGATATCTAGAGAGCTGCTAAATATTATTTCTGGGTACAAGTATGAGACTGTTTCTAGAAGAGATTAGCATTTAAATCAGTAGACTGAGTAAGGAAGATCTGCTCTCACAAATATCTGTGGGCATCATTCAATCCATTGAGGGCCTGAATAGAACAAAAAGGCAGAGGAAGGGCAAGTTTACTTTCTCTGCTTGAGCTGAGATATTCATTTTCTCCTACCTTTGGACATTGACACAAGTGGTTTTTGGGCTTTTGGATTTATACCCAACAGCCCTCTGATTCTCAGGCCTTTTTTGACTTGCACTGAATCACACCACCAGAATTTATGGTTCTCCAGTTTGCAGATAGCAGGCCATGGCACTTCTTAGCCTCCGTAACCATATGAGCCACTTCCTATAATAAATCCCCTCATCTATATCTATAGTCATATATTTAGATAGATGATAGATAGGTAGATAGATAGATAGATAGATAGATAGATAGATAGATAGATAGATATCTCCTATTGGTTCTGTTTCTCTGTAAAATTCTGACTAATACAATATGTTTCTCCTATTTCCCAACAGTAATAATTATCATGAGTTGTTCTACAAGGCATTTTTTAAGTGAGAGCAAGTTTATTGGAGAAGTGAAGAAACAAAAGAATGAGCTGCTTAAATCAAAACCAAAATGCATTTACTATTTACCAAAGAATCCAGTTAAAAGCAATATTTAAAGAATAAATTCCCAGAAGATGTTACAACCTAAGATTTTATTCTCAAACTAGTTTTACTCTGTTTTTTCCACGTTCCACTTTCTGGTAATTTCAAATCATCCTTTCTTCATTCAGTTTCTCCCTCCACCTTTTTTTCTTCCATTGGGGTATTTTCTTGAAGAAACTGTAGCCAATTCTGGTTAGTCTAAGTCAAAACATAAACTTATTAATAGAATACAGAGATAATTAACAGAATTAAAGAAAAATTGAAAACATAATACCCAGGATTGGAAAGAACAACCGCAACTCTGGAGATCTCAAAAACAGGAGTTCATGGACTTTATTGAAGAGCACTGCCATTGATGTGACCAGATCCCCAAAACTTCTAGTTTCTGTATGTCTCAATTCCAAGTTTTAAATTCTTTGGAGAAATAATCTAATTGACCTAGGTTGGATAAGGTATGCCCTCTTAGACAAGTTTGTTACACACAGAAACTAACTTACAGAAGGTCACTGTATAGATGTGGTCAATGGATGCACACTGACCATGTTGGAGATTATTCCAGGTAATGGGCAATTCCTTTGAGTTAAACAGTGAACATACAAGGTATCTACTACAGGTATCATCATAAACTTAATCATCTTTGCTCATTTATTTGTTGTAAATTGATGCAATGTTCTGAACTCCTGTGTCTTTTCTGATCACTAAGGATCATTCATGAGTTTTTCTGGCAAATGCTAAAAAGATTTTAGAATGACTAAAAGAAAATAGCTAAAATCAATATATTAAAAAATCATATTTGAGGCAACCACAATCTGGTATATTGCTAGACTTAGGCTGAAAGATAAAATTAAAGTTCAGAGAAAACAAATTAGATGAAATAAAAATAATTCAAAGTGATAACCTCCAACAAATAATAAAAATTTTAAAGCACTATCTATATCATTTATAAAGAAAAGTCAACATTACCATGCTTTAGTAAAATGACACACCACCATAATTGGAAGGATGGATTGAATAATTTGAAATCATTTAGCTTAAGTATGTTTTAGGTTTGTATTATTCCCCTAAACCTGAATCTATGTTTGCCAAAAAAGAATTTATAATCATTGGATTAGTTTTTTTAATTTAATTTTATTTTATTTTAATTATTATTATACTTTAAGTTTTAGGGTACAGGTGCACAATGTGCAGGTTAGTTACATATGTATACATGTGCCATGCTGGTGTGCTGCACCCATCAACTTGTCATTTAGCATTAGGTGTATCTCCTAAAGCTATCCCTCCCCCCTCCCCCCACACCACAACAGTCCCCAGAATGTGATGTTCCCCTTCCTGTGTCCATGTGTTCTCATTGTTCAATTCCCACCTATGAGTGAGAATATGCAGTGTTTGGTTTTTTGTTCTTGCGATAGTTTACTGAGAATGATGATTTCCAATTTCATCCATGTCCCTACAAAGGACATGAACTCATCATTTTTTATGGCTGCATAGTATTCCATGGTGTATATGTGCCACATTTTCTTAATCCAGTCTATCATTGTTGGACATTTGGGTTGGTTCCAAGTCTTTGCTATTGTGAATAATGCCGCAATAAACATACGTGTGCATGTGTCTTTATAGCAGCATGATTTGTAGTCCTTTGGGTATATACCCAGTAATGGGATGGCTGGGTCAAATGGTATTTCTAGTTCTAGATCCCTGAGGAATCGCCACACTTACTTCCACAATGGTTGAACTAGTTTACAGTCCCACCAACAGTGTAAAAGTGTTCCTATTTCTCCACATCCTCTCCAGCACCTGTTGTTTCCTGACTTTTTAATGATTGCCATTCTAACTGGTGTGAGATGGTATCTTATTGTGGTTTTGATTTGCGTTTCTCTGATGGCCAGTGATGGTGAGCATTTTTTCATGTGTTTTTTGGCTGCATAAATGTCTTCTTTTGAGAAGTGTCTGTTCATGTCCTTTGCCCACTTTTTGATGGGGTTGTTTGTTTTTTTCTTGTAAATTTGTTTGAGTTCATTGTAGATTCTGGATATTAGCCCTTTGTCAGATGAGTAAGTTGCAAAAATTTTCTCCCATTTTGTAGGTTGCCTGTTCACTCTGATGGTAGTTTCTTTTGCTGTGCAGAAGCTCTTTAGTTTAATTAGATCCCATTTGTCAATTTTGGCTTTTGTCGCCATTGCTTTTGGTGTTTTAGACATGAAGTCCTTGCACATGCCTATGTCCTGAATGGTAATGCCTAGGTTTTCTTCTAGGGTTTTTATGGTTTTAGGTCTAACGTTTAAGTCTTTAATCCATCTTGAATTAATTTTTGTATAAGGTGTAAGGAAGGGATCCAGTTTCAGCTTTCTACATATGGCTAGCCAGTTTTCCCAGCACCATTTATTAAATAGGGAATCCTTTCCCCATTTCTTCTTTTTGTCAGGTTTGTCAAAGATCAGATAGTTGTAGATACACGGCATTATTTCTGAGGGCTCTGTTCTGTTCCATTGATCTATATCTCTGTTTTGGTACCAGTACCATGCTGTTTTGGTTACTGTAGCCTTGTAGTATAGTTTGAAGTCAGGTAGCGTGATGCCTCCAGCTTTGTTCTTTTGGCTTGGGATTGACTTGGCGATGCGGGCTCTTTTTTGGTTCCATATGAACTTTGAAGTAGTTTTTTCCAATTATGTGAAGACAGTCATTGGTAGCTTGATGGGGATGGCATTGAATCTGTAAATTACCTTGGGCAGTATGGCCATTTTCACAATATTGATTCTTCCTACCCATGAGCATGGAATGCTCTTCCATTTGTTTGTATCCTCTTTTATTTCATTGAGCAGTGGTTTGTAGTTCTCCTTTGAAGAGGTCCCTCACGTCCCTTGTAAGCTGGATTCCTAGGTATTTGATTCTCTTTGAAGCAATTGTGAATGGGAGTTCACTCATGATTTGGCTCTCTGTTTGTCTGTTATTGGTGTATAAATGCTTGGTTTTTAAAGTATTCATGTCTACCCAGAAAATGGTTCCTACAGAGAGAACAAAATAAAGTCGTTGCTGGCCCTGTCACCATCACCATATAAACTTAAATATTGGTGTTAATCTAAAACAGTAATTCCTCTTCCGTAAATTAAGTTATTATGAGACCATGTCTGAACTAGATCAACTCTTAAGACCATATAATTTAGACTTTAAAAGTTAAGCGTTCTTATTTTGAAAGTTTAAAGACAAACAGAAGTTTATGGATACAGAATATAAAAGATAAGATGCTCTGGATCACTAAAGTGTATGCTAAAAAAAAAGTGGTGTGGGGGAGAAAAGAACAGGTGCACATGATTTAATGAAAATACACTGTGCTGCACTGTGAGATGAGTTAAACAAAGATGATAGAAACCTCAAAGAAATAGAAGTGTTTTTTATTTCATTAATTTATTCTTTTTAAATTCTTTTATTCAATATGGAGATAGGAATATAGACTAACCTTCTTTGGCTACACATAATTAATTCAATCTAATTTTTTAGTGAACATAGCCTTTTTTTTATTTCAATAGGTTTTTAGGGAACAGGTGGTGTTTGGTTACATGAATCAGTTCTTTAGTGGTGACTTCTGAGATTTTGGTGCACCCATCACCCAAGCAATATACACTGTATGCAATGTGTGGTTTTTTCATCCCTCACCACCCTCTAACACTTTCTCCTGGATGGTAGATCTATTTTTAGTTCTATAAGGAATCTCCTCACTGTTTTCCATAGTGGTTGTACTAGCTTACATTCCCACCAACAATGTGAAAGTGTTCCCTTTTCACAACATCTATTTCAACATTCAATTCTGTTAATTATCTCTGTATTCTATTAATAAGTTTATGTTTTGACTTAGACTAACCAGAATTGGCTACAGTTTCTTCAAGAAAATACCCCAATGGAAGAAAAAAAGAGGGAGGAAGAAACTGAATGAAGAAAGGATGATTTGAAATTACCAGAAAGTGGTAATTTATTCTCATTTGAGGATAAAATCTTAGGTTGTTACATCTTCAGGGAATTTATTCTTTAAATACTACTTTTAACTGGATTCTTTGGTAAATAGGAAATGCATTTTGGCTTTGATTTAAGCAGCTCATTCTTTCGTTTCTTTACTTCTCTAATAAATCCTAATAAATCTCTAGTGAATCCCCAAAGTCCACTGTATCATTCTTATGCCTTTGTGTGCTCAGAGCTTAAATCCCACTCATGAGTGAGGACATACGATGTTTGGTTTTCCATTCCAGAGCTACTTCACTTATAATAATGGTCTCCAATTCCATCCAGGTTGCCGTGAATACCATTATTTTGTTCTTTTTTATGGCTGAGTAGTATTCCATGGTGTGTATGTGTGTGTGTGTGTGTGTGTATGTATATATATATATATATTTATATAAAATCACATTTTCTTTATACATTCCATTATTTTGTCCCTTTTTATGGCTGAGTAGTATTCCATGGAATACATATATACCATATAGTATATATATACCACATTTTCTTTATACATTCATTGATTGATGGGCATTTGATCTGGTTCCATATTTTTGCAACTGCAGACTGTGTTGCTATAAACATGCATGTGCAAGTATCTTTCTCGTATAATGACTTCTTTTGCTCTCGGTAGATACTCAGCAGTGAAACTGCTGCATGAAATGGTAGACTTACTTTTAGTTCTATAAGGAATCTCCTCAGTGTTTTCCATAGTGGTTGTACTAGCTTACATTCCCACTAACAGTGTAAAAGTGTTCCCTTTTCACAACATCCATTTCAACATCTATTTTTTTTTATTTTTTTTATTATGGCCATTCTTGCAGAAGTAAGATGATATCACAATGCAATTTTAATTTGCATTTCCTGATAATTAGTGATGTTGACAATTTTTTATATGTTTGTTGGCCATTTAAATATCTTCTTTTGAGATCTGTCTATTAATGTCTTTAGCCCACTTTTTGAGGGGATTTTTTTTTCTTGCTAATTTGAGTTTCTTGTAGATTCCGGATATTAGGTCACCAGGGAAGTGGGGGAAAGCCAGCAGTGACAGGCCTCACCCCTCTCCCATGCAGCTAAACAGACCAATCTCATGCCCACCATGCTCCCCCAACAGCATCGAGTTTATATCCAGGCAACCAGTGAGCAGGGCTGAGAACTTGCCCCAGGCTACAAGTCTCCTCACTGAGAGAACAACCAGGACTTTCAGGCTTCACCCCCTCCTCCACCATGGTGTCTTTGCTCATACCTGCACTTTCCATTCACCTTCCCAACCCTGAGATTCTGCCCTGGAAAATTTGCACTCAGCTGAAATTATTACAACATTCAGCTGAAAGTTTATTTCTCCCTCTGGCACTCCCCAAATTCCACTGGCAGTCCTCCTCAAGGACCCTTGTGAGATAAAGTCAGAAATGGCTTCCCTGGGCCTTTCTGGGGACTGGGAGTGCCTACAGGGCTCTTCCCACTGCTTCTTCTACTTTTATGTTTCGCTCAGCTCTCTACATTCATTTCAGCTCTAGGTAAAGTTAAATCCTTCTCTCGTGATCTGGATTTTCAGGCCTCCAGTGAGGGTGTCTGGACAGAGGCTGACTTTCACCTTCTCACACTTTGGGGAAAAATTTTTCAGCTGTCTCATGGAGTTTGCAGCAGCAAGCTGTTTCTTTCAAAGGGTTTGTGAATTCTTTCAGTTTTTCTGCTATGTTCCTGTGTTAGTTCTTGGAATAAAAGTTCATGATGTGAGTCTCCACACCTTGTTTGTCTATCCAAGTGGCAGCTGCAAGTTAGTCCTGCCTCCTATTCACCATTTTCCCCTGATTTCTAAACTGAAGATTTCTATCTTAAATTTAAAAGTTCCATAGGGAAGAAAGATACTAAAAGAACAACACTGATCTCAGAAATTTTCAAATTAACCACCTCAAACTGAATTTTTATGATGGGCATTTATATTCTGTCTTTCAAAAGTAAATTCAGAGCTTAATCTTGGATTGATTTGGAGCTCAGAAATGTCCATTCAATTACTAAACTTGCTATTCTTGGCTGAAGTGAAAGATTTTAACATAAAGCCTAATCCTTTTTATTAATTAGGTAGTTCCTAAATGGAACCACAGGTTGGTGAGGTTCTGATGAAGTTTTCACCACTATGAAATAAAATGATAAAAATAAAAGCAATGTAGTAAGTTTTTCATAGTGCTAAACTTGGTTTTTATTATTATAGATAATATCTGTGTTTTAATTAATTTTTAGTGTATGTCATCATTATTCACTAAGTATTATGGATAACAGTATAAATAGTAAATACTAGACAGAATGTACAGTTAAGATATGACCCTAAATTGTCTTGCTAATTAACAAATTAGTATGACAATTCTATTAGTCTGGGTTCAATAAAGAGGCAGAAACCATATCAGCCATTTGGACAGAAAGAATTTAATACAAAGAACTGAAAACTGGAGGACAAAAGAGACCCCCTAAGAAATCATAGATAGAGCAACTTTACAGAAATAGGTACCACTGATAGAGTTGGGGAAACAAGGGAAGAGGTTGTTAAAACTTAGAAATGTGGAAGAAGGATCCCATGGGGACCCAAACCTCTGAAGAAGAGATGCCACTTGCTTGGTGCACATGTTGGGAACAAAGGGGATTGTACATGATAAATTTTTTTCTTCGGGTGTTGGAAAATTTGCATACTAGCTTTAGATAAACTATAGGAGGAGACCAGGGACAGTGGCTCATGTCTATAATCCCAGCACTTTGGGAGGCCAAGACTGGTGGACCACTTGAGGCCAGGAGTTTAAGACTAGCCTTGCCAACATGGCAAAATCCCGTCTCTACAAAAAATTAGCCAGGTGTGGTGCCCCATGCCTGTAATCCCAGCTACTCAGGAGGCTGAGGCACAAGAATTTTCTGCGGAGGCAGAGGTTGCAGTGAGCCAAGATCACACCACTGCACCCCAGCTTGAGCTACAGAGGAGACGCAATCTCAAAATATATATATAGGAGGGAATTTTACCTGCCTGGTGAGGAAGTGTTGCAGGACTGATGCTCACAGGAACAGACAGAAGGCAGAAAGAAAGCTGCAAGCCCATGGAAAGAATCAAGTCCTTTCTCACCCGGCCTACCAGTCTCCCTTTTAAACCCCCTACTGGTATACCCCAACAGAAAGCAGCTTATAAAGTCAAAATGGGGTCCACAGAGTCACCACCCCAGGATCACAGGACCAAGTATAAAAGGGCTTAAGAACTTAAGAACTTAATAATTTATACAATGTTGGGTTTTTTCAATTAAAATTTTACTCATCTATAAAATAATGGCATCATTTGTAGAAACTTTATGGGTAGTTCAGTTCTCATTCCATTTTTAACGTGATTAATAGGAATAAAGATATTTGGAATACTTTGCTCTTTTTAAAACACTCTGAAATACACAATCTCATTTGATTCTTACATAGTAGATGATCTGAAATATTCCTGTTTCTTTGTTGATAATTCTACTTCTCAGAAAACAGAGTAACCAATAAGGAAATTGCTATTCTGAACCTAATTCTAACAAAGAGAAACTTATTCGAGAAGTGAAGTAACAAAGATGCTGAGAGAAAGAAAACATGCTTTCACTCACCTTTGAATCCATGTAACCAGAGAAGGAAATGCTGGGCTACCACTCTCAGTCCACACTGTGATTTTCAGATTTTAAAAAATATCCCTCAACAATGCCCTCTCCTTTGAAACTCTCATGTCTATATATAACCACTATTCTCTTCCCATCCACATTACCATGATTACCAACCTCCAAACCACTCCCTCAAAATCAGTAAGACTCCATGCATCCCAGGTAGTGACATCATCAAGGTTGCCAAGTCGATTTGACTTCTCTCCCACATGAAGGGACCAAAACAATAAATAAACAACTATATGTCAACTAAAGTGACTGAGGAAGTATGCTAGCAGACACCAGGGGAGCAGCAATATCCCTGTGGAGAACAGAAGCACAGATAGCACCATAGAGAGGTGAGAAAGGCACCCTGACTTTGCCACATTGTCTCCCAAGATCAGCTTGAAGTCAGGGGGAACTTCTTACAGGGAAGAGGTATGCTGGATATATGCAGTGGTGCCCATTACCACCACAAATGCCAGTCCTTGCTACAGGAGAGTCCTCCAGTCCTCAAAAGCTCCAAATTCAGTTTGGAGAGTAATCAGGAGTTTGCTTAGCTGCATTGCCTCAGAAAAGCCTACCTTGAGCACCTCCCACCTCAACAATGTAAGCTGCTATGCTCAATGCCTTGTTGACACTGGACCCTCAGCTAGAGTGTGCCCTGCACTAAGAGCCAGTCTCTATCTCTGTGACAGAATCTCACTGTCTCTGAGACTCGCCATCATTCTACCAAGTTCATCTGGATGCCTGCAGCACTATGACCCCAGCTGTGTGAAGCCTAGGCCACATAACAACTGAGACCCTGGCATCTGAACCTACATAGCACACTACCCCCACTCCCAGGGAACAGGCAAACCTATACAGTAAGGAAGCCGCTGAACAGCTGGCCAGCCACTTCACAAACACCTGTGCTGCAAAGCTGACTAGATCACTGAGCCCATATGTGCCCATGCCCAGCCTGACAGCTAGTCCTGTGGTATCCCTGCTTTCGTGGATACACCACTGCAGGGCCACCTGGCACCACCACACCCACACTCACCCCAACATCCAGTCCAGCGGCAGCTCTGCCTCTCCAGAAAGCCCACCAGATAGCCTGTCAGCCCTCTGTGACTGCATGTACCCAGCCTGACAACCAGACCAGTGCCCCTGCTCCCAGCAAACCTGTGCCAATACCATCAAAACTCCCACAGCCTAGGTCACTGAAGCAATCACAGACATCACTGATGAGAATAATAGCTGAAGAAACTGCATGGGGACCATGTTACTGAGTTCACCAGAAATAAAGCCAACGCACCATACCCAATTAATACTCTAGATGCGTCTACAAGAAAAAGATCTCTTCCTACAAAAGCTACTCCATAAAACAAACAAAAAAAAATCCCTATTCTATTAGATGTGCAGATATCAACAAAGGGACACAAGAAACAAGAAAAAGTAAGGACATGACACTCCCAAAGGAACATAGTCTCTAGTAACAGGCTCCGAAGGAAAGGACATTTATGAAATGCTTGAAAAGAAGTTCAAAATAATGATCTTAAGGAAATTCAGTGAGATACAAGAGAACACAAACAATTTAATGAAACTAAGAAAACATTCATGTTCTGAATGAGAAATTCAACAAAGAGATAGACATTAAAAAGAATGATATTAAAATGACCAAACTGAAATCTTGGAGGTGAAGAAAAGAAATAACTAAAATCAGAGCAGAACTAAATGAAATTGAGATCCAAAAACCATACAAAGAATCAATGAAGTAAAAAATTAGTTCTTTGAAAGGATAAACAAGATTGATAGATGGCTACCTAGATTAACAAAGAAAAAAAAGATTATCCAAGTAAGCACAATCAGAAATGACAAAGGGTGACATTACAACTGATTCCACAGACACATAAAAGGCCCCCAGAGTCTACTATGAACATTGCTATGCATACAGATTAGAAAAATCTAGAGGAAATGAATAAATTCCTGAAAACACAAAACCTCCTACGATTGAAGCAGGAAGAAACAGAAATCCTGAACATACTGATAATGAGTAATGAAATTGAATCAGTAATAAAAAAGACCTACCAACCAAAAAAAAAGCCCTGGACCAGATGGATTCACAGCCAAATTTTACCGCACATACAAAGAAGGGCTGGAACCAATCCTATTGAAACATTCCAAAAATTCAAGGAGAGACTCCTCCCTAACTCCCAATAGATGCAGAAAAAGATTTTGATAAACTCTAATATCCCTTCATGATAAAATTCCTCAACAAACTAGCCATCAAAGGAACATAGCTAAAAATAATAAGTGCCACCTCTGACAAACCCATGGCTAACATCATAGTGAATAGGCAAAGTTGGAGGCATCTAAGAACTGGAAAAAAACAAGGATGTCAACCTCACTACTTGTATTCAACATAGTACTGGAAGTCCTAGCCAAAGCAATCGTCAGGAGACAAAAATAAAAGTTATCCAAATAGAAAAAAAGGAAGTCAAATTGTCTCTCTTCACTGATGATAGCATTCTATACCTTAAAAACCCAAAGGTTCTGCCAAAAGACTCCTAGACCTGATAAACAACTTCAGCAAAGTTTCAGAATGCAAAATCAATGTATAAAAGTCAGTAGCATTTTTTTTTCTTTTTTGGGGGGGGATACGGAGTCTTGCTCTCTTGCCCAAATCAAAAACACACTCCCATTCACAACAGTTGAAAAGAAAAAAATACCTAGAAATACATCTACCCAAAGAGATTAAAGATTGCTGCAATGAGAACTACAAAACACTGCTGAAAGAAATCAGGGATGACACAAACACATGGAAAAACATTCCACATACATGGATTGGAAGGATCAATATAATTAAAATGGCCATACTGCTCAATGCAATCTACAAATTCAATGCTATTCCTATGAAATTACCAATGTCATTTTTCACAGAATTATAACTATTCTAAAATTCATACTGAACAAAAAAAAGCCTGAATAGTCAAAATGATCCTAAGCAAAAAGAACAAAGCTGGAAGCAACACATTACCCAACTTCAAATTATACTACAAGGCTACAGTAAACAAAACATGATACTGATACAAAAACAGACACATAGACCAAGGTAACAGGATACAGACCCCTGAAATAAAGCTGCACACCTATATCCATCTGATCTTTGACAAAGTCAACAAAAATAAGCAATGGGGAAACCCTATTCAATAAATGGTGTTGCAAAAAGTGGCTAACCATATGCAGAAGAATGAAACTGGACCTCTACCTTTCACCATATGCAAAAATCAACTAAGATGGATTAAAGACTTAAATGTAAGACTTCAAATTATGAAAATCCTAAAAGAAAACCTAAGAAATACTCTTCCAGACATTGGCCTAAGCAAAGAATTTATGATTAAGTCCTCAAAAGTAAGTGCAACAAAAGCAAAAACTGACAAGTGAGACCTACTTAACCAACGAGCTTCTGCACAACAGAAGAAACTATCAACAGAGTAAACAGACAGCCTACAGAATGGGAGAAAATATGTACAAACTATACATCCAACAAAGGACTAGTGCCCAGAATCTATAAGGAACTAAACAAATCAACAAGCAAAAGTCAAATAACCCCATTAAAATTGGGCAGGCCGGGCATGGTGGCTCACAGCTGTAATCCCAGCAATTTGGGAGGCAGAGGTGGGTGAGTTCCTTGAGCCCAGGAGTTCAAGACCAGCCTGGGCAATAAAATGAGACCTCGCCTCCATCAAAAAACTAAAAATTAGCTGGGTGTGTTTACGTACACCTGTGGTCCCAGCTACTCAAGAGGCTAAGGTGGGAGGATTGCTTGAGCCCCAGAGGTCGAGGCTGCAGCAAGTCATGATCATGCCACTGCACTCCAGCCTAGGCAACAGGGCAAGGCCTTGTCTCAAAAAAAAAAAAAAAATGGGCAAAGGATATGAACAGACACTGCTCAAAAGAAGACATACAAGCAGCCAAGAAACATACAAAAAAAATGCTCAGCATCACTAATCATTAGAGAAATGCAAATCAAAACTACGGTGAGATACCATCTAATACCAGCCAGAATGGCTATTAATAAAAAGTCAAAAAATAATGGATAACGGTGAGGTTGCAGAGAAAAGGGAATGCTTATACAATGTTGGTGAGAATGTAAACTACCTCAGCCCCTGTGAAAAGCAGTTTGGAGATTTCTCAAAGAACAGAAAATAAAATTATCATTCAACCCAACAATCCTATTACTGGGTATATACCCAAAGAAAAATCAATCATTCTATTAATACCAAAAAGTTACATGCATTCACATGTTTAGTGCAGCACTATTCACAATAGCAAAGACATGAAATCAACCCAGGCACCTATCAATGGTGGATTGGATAAAGAAAATGTGGTACTTACGCAGCATAGAATACTACACAGACATAAAAATAGAATGAAATCATGTCCTTTGAAGTAACATGGATGCAACTGAAGGCCACTGTCATGGGCAAATTAACGCAGCAACAGAAAACCAAATACCACATATTCTCGTAAGTGGAAGCTAAATACTGGGTACAAATGGAACAAAGACAGGAACAACAGACACTAGGAATTCCAAAAAAAGGGAGAAAAGAGGGAGGGGTAAGTGTTGAAAACTACCTATCAGGTACTGTATCTGCCACTTGGGTCATGGGATCATTAGAATTTCAAACCTCAGCATCACACAATCTACCTGTGTAACAAACCTGCACCTGCACCCCTTGAACCTAAAATTAAAAAGTAAAAAGACTCTTCAATAAATGGTGCTGGGAAAAGTGGATATCCATATACAGAAGAATGAGACTAGATCTCTACCTTGCACCATATACAAAAATCAAATCAAAATGGATTAAGATTTAAATGTAAAATCTGAAACTATAAAATAGAATAAAACATAGAGGAAACACTTCACGACATGGGGCTGGGTAATAATTTTTTTAAAATAAGACTTCAAAAGTGCAGGCAACAAAAGCAAAAACAGACAAATGGGATTACAGCAATATGAAAAGCTTTTACACAGCAATGGAAACAACAGAGAGAAAATAAAACCTACAGAATAGGAGAAAATATTTGCAAACTATGTATCTGACAAGGAGTTACTGCCCAGATTATGTTTTTAAAAACTTGCATAACTCAATAGCAGAAAAAAAATCTGATTTAAAAGTGAGCAAATGACCTGAGTAGATATTTCTCAAAAGGACACCAAAAATGCCCAACAGGTGTATGAAAAAATGTGCAACATCTCTAATTATCAGGAAAATGCAAATCAAAACCACAATGAGATGCAACCTCATGCCAGTCAGAATGGCTATTGTCAAAAATACAAAAGAAAACAAGTGTTGATAAGGATGTGAAAAAAGGGGAACACTTACACACTGCTGGTAGGATTGTAAGCTAATACAGCCATTATAAAAAACTATATGGAGGTTCCTCAAAAAATTAAAAATAGAACCACTACCTATCAAATAATTTCACTACTGGGTATATATACAAGGTAAATGAGATCAGTACGATGAAGACATATATACTTCCCCATGTTTATTGCAGCACTAGTTCCAATGGCCAAGATATGGAATCAACTTACATGTCCAACAATGGATGAATACAGAAAATGTGGTATATATGCACAATGGAATACTCTTCAGCCATAAAAAAGAATAAAATCCTGTTATTTGCAACAACATCAATGTAATGTAATCTGTGATGAATCTAGATGACATCATGTTAAGTGAAATAAGCCAGATACAGAAAGGCAAATACCGTATGATCTCACTTAGACATGGAATCTGAAAAAATTCACATGTTGATTTTATAGCAGCAGAGAGTAGATCAATGGTTACCAGAAACTGGGGAGGGAAGGGAGGGAAGGGAGGGAAGGGAGGAGAGAAAGATGGGGAGAGGTTAATCAACAGGTACAAAGTTACAATTAGATAGGAGGAATAAATTCTGGTGTTCTATTGCACAGTAGGGTGACTAGGGTTGACAGCAAAATATTGTGTATCACAAAATAGCTAGAGGAGAGGTTTTTGAATGGTCTCACCACAAACAAATGCATGAAGTGAAGGACACATTAACTATCCTGATGGGATCATTATACAACATGATCCATATACAGATATGTACTGAAACATCAAATTGTACCCTATAAACATATACACTTACAATGTGACAATTTTTAAAATAAGCAGTTAAAGAAAAGACTTCAGGCATCTGGTTCAGCATTCTCCTTTATACTACAAGTCTTGTCACATCATAGCTGATTTAATCATACATGTGAAGATCCACTGAACTGTAACCTCACAGTTGTCTGACCTAGACTCCTAAAACATGTTTGGCCACTACAGCACTCCTCTCTCAGAACTATGCCCACTGGATTGTCATCATGCAGGTTTGCTACATTTCTGAAATCCTGGATTCCAAAACTCCAACTAAGTTCTGAAATCATTTCACTCATCTGAAGGCTTACCCCAGTAAACTTGCCTGTCTAAGCACTTTCTCAGCTTTTCATCTCTCAGCTTCTTCCTTTTAATTATGAATTTGTAACTTAACCAGGAGTGAACAGTGAACAAGCATGTACAAAGCAAATTATAACATGTCCTCCAATGCCACCCCCTGCCTCTATTAAATCCTTTCTTAGAAGTCTCCTCTGCTCTCTGTGGCATGTGGCATTGCTGACTCCTCTCAACTCTCTGGCTCTTTTCCTGGTTTATTTTCTACCTCTTTGCCTATTGTCTGACTTCTCTTTCTACTCATTGAACATAAATGCTATAAAGGGCTCTACCATTAACTTTCTTTTCTCTCTTTTTATACTATCCTTTTCAAATCCTGCCCAACCTCATGCTCATGAATTACCTCTGTCAGTAGTTATCAAACATGGTTGTACATTAGAATCATCTGGGGAGCTTTACAAACTATAAAAATACCAGGTCCTTACCCTATACTAATTAAATCTGCATCACTGACCAAACTGATTAAATCAAAATTTTTAGCCTTACCAATTAAATCAGAATCTCTGGGGTCCAGCACATGTACTTTTTAAAGCTCTCTAGGTGCTACTGAAGTGCAGCTATCTTGAGTACTGCTATATGCAGATAAATTTAAAATCTTATGCTTCTAGTCTGACTTCTCTTCTGATCTCCCATTCCACATTTCCAAATTTGTTGGCCATGTCTCTTGGGTTGTCACACCAGTGTTTTCACTTGAAAAATCCAAAATCGAACTCATTAATTTCCCATGTAAGTATATTCTTCTTAAGAACTTACGCACTTCTTATGCCCTTATACACTTTTATTAATGAAATCATTGTTCTCATGACCCAGGAAGGAAACCTCAGAATAATCTGACTCTTCTCTCTTCCTTGCTATCAACATCTAATTAGTTGTTAAGAACTGCTAAGTCCAGCTCTCTTTTTTCTAATCCTCATACCCAGTTCATCTCACTTCCACTGTCATCAAATTAGAGTATCTGTCTGTCAGTTCTCAAAAGTCATTATATCAGCTTCCAATTTTTTTTTGAGACAGGCTCTCTCTCTGTCACCCAGGCTGGAGTACAGTAGCACCATCATGGTTCACTGCAGTCTCAACTGCCCAGGCTCAAGTGATCCTCTCACCTCAGCCTCCCAAGTAGCTCGGACTACAGGTGCACATCACCATGCCTGCTAATTTCTTTATTTTTTGTAAAGATGTAGCTCCAATCTAATTTGATCTCTAGTCCTCCAACTCCAGATTATCCAAAAGATCCTAATATCTTCATATAACAGAGCTCTCATGTAACCCCTCTGCTCAAGGACCTTCAGGGTTCCTGACAATCTACAAAAGGAATTCCAAATGACTTAGCATTCAAAGCCTTTTCAGCCATATTTTCCTCTGCTCCATTTTATTTGCTGTTCGTGCTAACCAAATTGGAATATGTGCAATTAGTCCACACATGCCTCAGGATTTCCAGCTTCTGTGACTATTAACTACTGATATGGTTTAGCTCCGTCCTCTCCCAAATCTCATCTTGGACTTGAGTTCACATAATCCCCACATGTCACAGGAGGACTTGGTGGGAGGTAAATGAATAATGGGGATGGTGACCTCCATGCTGTTCTAGTGATAGTGAGTTCTCACAAGATCTGATAGTTTTATAAGGGGCTTTCCCCCCCGTCACTCTTGTATTAGTCTGTTTTCATGCTGCTAATAAAGATATACCTAAGAATGGGCAATTTACAAAAGAAAGAGGTTTAACTGGACTTATAGTTCCATGTGGCTGGGGAACCCTCACAATCATGGTGGAAGACAAGGAGGAGCAAGTCACGTTTTACATGGATGGCAGCAGGCAAAGAGAGGGTGCTTGTGCAGGGAAACTCCCCCTTATGGAACCATCAGATCTTGTGAGACTTATTCACTACCATGAGAACAGCACAGGAAAGACCTGCCCCCATGATTCAATTGCCTCCCACCAGGTCCCTCCCACAACACATGCGAATTCAATATGAGATTTGGGTGGGGACACAGAGCCAAACTATATCATTCTGCCCCTGGGCCATCCCAAATCTCATGTCCTCATATTTCAAAACCAATCATGCCTTCCCAACAGTCCCCCAAAGTCTTAACTCATTTCAGCATTAACTCGAAAGTCCACTGTCCAAAGTCTCATCTGAGACAAGGCAAGTCCCTTCTGCCTGTGAGCCTGTAAAATCAAAAGCAAGTTAGTTACTTCCTAGATACAATAGGGGTACAGGCAATGGATAAATACAGCCATTCCAAACGGCAGAAATTGGACAAAACAAAGGGGTTACAGGCCCCATGAAAGTCCAAAATCCAGTGGGGCAGTCAAACCTTAAAGATCCAAAATGATCTCCTTTGACTCCATGTCTCACACCCAGGGCATGCTGATGTAAGAGGTGGGTTCCTATGGTCATGGGCAGCTCCACCCCTGTGGCTTTGCAGGGTACAGCCCCACTCCCTGCTGCTTTCATGGGCTGGTGTTGAGTGTTTGCAGCTTTTCCAGGCACACATTGCATGCTGTCAGTGGATCTACCATTCTGGGGTCTGCAGGATGGTGACTTTCTTCTCACAGCTCCACTACATGGTGCCCCAGTGGGGACTATGTGTGGGGGCTCCCACCTGACATTTTCCTTCTGCACTGCCTTAGCAGAGGTTCATGAGGGCCCTGCCCCGGTGGCAAACTTCTGCCTGGACATCCAAGCATTTCCATACATCCTCTGAAATCTAGGAAGATGTTTCCAAACCCCAATTCTTGATTTCTGTGCACTGGCAGGCTCAACACCACATGGAAGCTGCCAAGGCTTCAGGCTTGCACCCTCTGAAGCCATGGCCTGAGCTCTACATTGGCCCCTTTTAGCCACAGCTAGAGTGGCTGGGACATAAGGCACCAAGTCCCTAGGCTGCACACAGCACGGGACCCTGGGCCCAGACCACAAAACCACTTTTCCTCCTAGGCCTCTAGGCCTGTAATGGGAAGGGCTGCCATGAAGACCTCTGACATGCCCTGGAGACATTTTCCCCATTGTCTTGGGGATTAACATTCAGCTCCTCATTACATATGCAAATTTCTGCAGCCGGCTTGGATTTTTCCTCATAAAATGGGATTTTCTTTTCTATCACATTGTCAGGCTGCAAATTTTCCAAACTTTCATGCTCTGCTTCCCTTATAAAACTGAATGCCTTTAACCACATCCTAGTTACATCTTGAATGCTTTGCTGCTTGGAAATTTCTTCCGCCAGATACCCTAAATCATCTCTCAAGTTCAAAGTTCAACAAATCTCTAAGGCAGGGGCAAAATGCTGCCAGTCTCTTTGCTGAAATATAACAAGAGTCACCTCTGCTCCAGTTCCCAAGTTCCTCATCTCCATCTGAGACCACCTCAGCCTGGACTTTATTTTCCATATCACTATCAGCATTTTGGGCAAAGCCATTCAACAAGTCTCTAGGAAGTTCCAAACTGTCCCACATTTTCCTGTCTTCTTCTGAGCCCTCCAAACTGTTCCAATCCCTGCCCGTTACACAGTTCCAAAGTCGCTTGCACATTTTCAGGTATCTTTTCAGCAGCACCCCATGCTACCAGTACCAATTTACTGTATTAGTTCATTTCATTCTGCTGATAAAAACATACCTGAGACTGGGCAATTTACAAAGGAAAGAGGTTTAACAGAGAACTCACAATTCCACGTGGCTGGGGAAGCCTCAAAATCATGGTGGAAGGCAAAGAGGAGCAAGTCACATCTTACATGGATGGCAGCAGGCAAAGAGAGAGAGCTTGTGCAGGGAAACTCCCCCTTGTAGAACCATAAGATCTCATGAGACTTATTCACTATCATGAGAACAGCACGGGAAATATCTGCCCCCATCATTCAATCATCTCCCACTGGGTCCCTCCCACAACACATGGGAATTCAAGATGAGATCTGGGTGGGGACACAGCCAAATCATATCAGCTCTGCACTTTTCCTTGCTGCCTCCATGTGAAGGATGTGTTTGCTTCCTCTTCTGCCATGATTGTAAGTTTCATGAGGCCTCCCCAAGACATGCTGAACTGTGAGTCATTTAAACCTCTTTTCTTTATAAATTACTGAGTCTCATGTATGTCTTTATTAGCAGCATGAGAACAGCCTGATACAAGTAACCTTCTTCCTTTTCTGAATGTTCAAAAACCATTTACCCTTCAAAGCCCAGTGTTAGCTAAACTTCTTTCTGAATTCTCTGAGTAAATCTCTCCAAATAATTCCAAGGGCATTTTGTCTATACTCTCTTATGACATTTACTTCCTACCTTGTATAATAATTGTGCCTATAGTTTACCTCTAGATTAATGCCATCCTCACACGTGTAACCCCAGCACTTTGGGAGGCCAAGGCAGTCAGATCACAAGGTCAGGAGTTCGAGACCAGTCTGGTCAACATGGTGAAACCCCATCTCTACTAAAAATACAAAAATTAGCCAGGCATGGTGGCACACACCTGTAATCCCAGTTACTTGGGGACTGAGGCAGGAGAATTGCTTGAACCTAGGATGCGGAGTCTGCAGTGAGCCGAGATCATGCCACTGCACTTCAGGTTGGGTGACAGGCAAGACTGTCTCAAAAAAAAAAAAAATTTATGTATGATCTTAGCACAGTGTCTTGATGATTGATGATATCCAAATATCTTTTAAACTAATTTTCTTTTCACTTAATTGGTAAAGATAGTAGAAACAGTATAGTATGATTGTTAAGAGACCAGATTCCAGAATTTAGAGTCAAACACACTTAGGTTCAAATGCCAATTTCACCATGTTCTGTTCTGTGACCCGAGCTTGAGAAAATAACTTTTCCTACCAGCAGATTCCTCACCTGTAAAAGTGGCTATAATAATAGTATCTCACTAATAGGACGTAACTACCTAATTGGGTGGTTGTAAGACTCAGATCATTCATGTGAAGAAGTAATTACCGTGACTCACGTACAGGTTCTTGACAAATGTTAGATATTTCTAGTAAACACTGGCCAGTAAGCATGCATTCTAACTTCTTTTAATATAATGGGACTAAATCCCTTGCACCATTTCCCAATCCCTTGCACCTAGGATTCTAGATTTAAGTTCCTACAATTAGATGTTAAACTTCTAGGTTGAGTGTCCAGGAATGACACTCAGCCTAGAGTCTGGAATCCAATTTTGTTGATGTGCCTTAGAACTGCAGTGGCAGCCTGGGACAGCAGCTGTAGCAAAGGTTTCCTAACTTGGTAGGCTATTTTCCACTGATAGCAGAGGCTCTAGAGCTAACAGCTGTGATGGTATCTTTCTTATACCATGGCTTTCTAATGGTAGCAAAGGCATAATCCCTTGACAGCCAATGTGGCTTTGGGAACCATTCCTGGACACTCAACCTAAAATCTGTGGGCCATTTAATGCTCCGTGATGAACACCTTACTGCTTAAACTAGCTAGAGTGAGTTTTACTCTCCACAACTGAACACTAACCAAAATACTATTGTTATTATTTCTTCTGGAGAAGATTTCCACTTGGGAAGGAAAAGATTTGTGACCAGGATGGCAATTCAGAGGCAGATTTCACCCTGAATAGTCGTCTTTAAGTTACTGCAGGTGGTAATCACACTCATACACAAAGAATGGCAAGCAATCATTTGTAATCAGCTTGAGTGAGCATTTAGGGTGTTGAAATTTGGTGTACCATTTAAAAATATCTCTGAATGTCTTGACAGTAACTTAGTTTAGTAAAATATCATGCTACCACTTTGCAATATGTTCCATTCAAGATGAGATTTGGGTGGGGACACAGTCAAACCATATCAGCATGTATCAGTATTTTTCTACATAAACATTTTCTAGGAATAGTAACCACCCATCTTCATGCACCTGCAGGCCCTGGAAAGGTCAAGCACAGAGTTGGAACTCCAGTAGAAAGCATAAGAGAACTCCGAATTCAGGTCTTTTTTCTGCTAGGACCTTAACGACATTCTGTCTGAATTTATCTGCTCTTTTTCCTCTATTCACCTCTGTACCTTTGAGAAGCTCTCAGTATCATACCTTCTACATTTAACCCTGCTTTACTGTAAAGAACTTATCAACAGCTGAGAAACCTCTGTGCTGCTCTCCATGACTTTGACTTCTATGATCCCATGATTATTTTCAAGGTGAACAAACAATAGCCATAAAATAGACCCAGTAAATTTTTGTGGCAGATCGTCTGGCAGCAACAAATATTTATTGAGTGCCAAAAGTATAAAGTATTCCAGGTAGTTGAGATACATATCAAAAAAATAGACCTAGATCCTGCTCTTAACTCACAGGCACTGGCCATTTCATGTCTGAGTGTTTCTGCTTGCTTGTAATGTCACTGAGATCAAACTGGAACAATAACAAAAAGCAGAGATGCAGACCTTAATCTGCGATGTGTTTCTGCACCTTAAAAACAAACACACCTAAAATCTTTTTTACTATAACAAGTACTTTCCCCCCTAATAGTTCCCTCGGACCTGGAAAAGTCTAGAACTTAGTGTGTGAAAAAAACAACAAAATAAATTATCTGGAAATTTTCTATATATTGAAAAGGGTGTGTGAAGACCAGGCATAATGCATTTATCAAAATTTATCTAGTGGTACACTTAAGATTTGGATTTCACTGTATGTAAATTTTACCTCAAAAATAAAAAGAAATTGAAAACAAGTATTATACTCCAGTTAATTATGTTCACGCTAAAATGTCTAGGAGTAAAGTATACTAATGTCTGCAACTAACTTTGAAAATAAATAAAATCAAAAAATAAGATGGTTGCTTTAATAGAGGTGTCTTTAAAAATAATAGTAATAATAAGTAATAATAGTAATTATAAGGTAGCTAGATGGATGGGTGGTTGGATGGATGAAAAGGCAAATATGACACAATGTTAACAACAGTAGAAACTAGATGACATATTCTTTCAACAATTCCTTCCACCTTTCTTTAAAATGAAATTTTTCATAATAAACATTTGGGAGGTGAGGGGAAAGTCCGCTATAGCAGACCAATCGCAATTTGCTGAACCACACCGAGTCACAAAGACAAAGAACTCTTGCTATGGTTTGAATGTGTCCCCCAATATTCATGTGTTGACAGCTTAATCCCTAATGCAACAGTGTTAGGAAATAGGACCTTTTAAGAGGTGATTACATCATGAGTATTCTGCCTTCATGAATGGATTAATGCCATTATCTTGAGAGTGAGTTATTTCAGGAGTAGGCTCATGATAAAAGAATGAGTTTGGCCTCCTTTCTTCTATGCAGTGCACTCTCTTTCCACGTTATGAGTCAGCAAAAAGGACCTCAATCTATGCAGCCCCTTGATCTTGGAATTCCCAGCCTCCAGAAACATGAGGCAAATAAACTTCTATTCCTTATAAATTTCTCAGTCTGTGGTGTTCTGTTATAGCAGCATAAAATGGACCAAGACAAACCCTAAAGGAAAAACAAAACAAAAACAACATCAATGGCAAATAAGGTAAATACTGATAGTCAGATAGTAACTGGGATTTATTTTCTAGGCAAATGGAAGATGGATGGAGGAGTAGAGAATATTAACAAACTCATTAATACCCTGCTTAGCAAAAACCTGCAACCACCACAATTTTCTTAATTTAAAAAAAATCTGCAGGGAAGTGTTTTTTAAAGCATTTTTATTACACTGAAATTACTGTCGTGCTTTCTGTTTCAGGGTAATAAACTGGCACTGCTGCCTTTTGGCAATGGTGGGGAGGAGGAGGAGAAAGAGGAGGGATTTTGTTAAGTGAAGGGCTCACTACCACAGAGCACACTGGTGGGTTTGGAGGGGAGAAAGAAAGAGCAAGAGGGAGGGAAGAGGAGGGAAAAGGGAGGTAAAGAAAAGAAGAAAGAGGTAGAGTGAAGAAGGAATGGAGAAGAGAGAAAAAAATTGAAATTACAGGGCTGAGCAGGGAAAAAGAGGAGCCAACTAGATAGAGAAAGGCTGACAAAAAGAAATTCAGTAAAATTCCATAGTGGTGGGTGGCCAAGGAACATTTTGAGACAAGAGAGGCTGCCTGATCCATTAGAGGTTGTTTTGTTGCTGCTGTATACACTCTGCTGCTATCCTTTCCTCAAATCTTCACTAAAGGCACTTAAAATCATGAATGTTTTATGTGAATGGGCTTTTAGTGGACATCAAGCAGGGAACTTAGTTTTGTTTCTGGGTCAGTGCCGTGCAGAAATCTTGAGAAGGATTTCTGACTCCCACAGGCCTTGGAAGGGGAGGTGTCCAAGTCAATTTTATGTAGATCTTTCAGGATGAATGAGAAGCAGGGGAGGAATGAGACAGCAGCTTATTCAAGGAAAAGCTGCCCTGCAGAGAAAAAATTTCAAAACCACTTTTTCTTATCCATTTTTAACCCAGAAGACCCTCATTATCAGGACTGGAAAATCAGGAAAGTCATTTTCATCCTTACATCGGTCTTTTTTTAATGAGGTTACACTGCCACCTACTGGTATTGGTTAAAAAAAAACCTTTTATTATAATTTTAAACTTCGTGATTCTTTGGAAGCCTTTATCTTTTATTTACTGACAAATTCTTCCCTTGTATGGGAACACAAATTTGCATAAGATGAGTTCTTTGCCAGCGAAATTTTATCCTCTAATAGTAATCTAATGAAGATAACTTGTAGCCCTTCAGAATTCAGACACCATTTCAACAGTAAAACCTTCCTTTATAGAGGTTTCCCATCCTTCTTAACCAGAATTGACAACTCTCTTTTTTGGGCACATACACTATCCATTGTACTTAGTTGATTACTTGATTATACTGTCTCCCATAACTAGACCATAAACTCCTAAGATTCAGGGACTACATCTTTTCTGCATTTATATTCCTAGCACCTGGAACAGAACCTGCACATAGATGACTAATAAATATATAATAAATATATAATATTAATAAATATATAATAATATATAAAAATAAATATATATATAATAAATGAATAAATGATTGATGATCAAAAAGTATAAACAAAGCAAACATCACTTTATATAAACTTTTATTAATAAAAAATTTTAAATAAACATTTCAATTCCAAATATACACATTATGTAATTCCTTGTCTATGGAGTGGCTTTTACCTTGCCCAATATTACATTTTACAAAATTCGTATAGATGAAATCAGAATAAAGAAGATATGTGAAGTTAGATTTTCCCATTAGCATATAATTCATAAACTCTTAATTACCATGAGATAATCTAAAACAAGATATTCTTAAGAGAATCAACTAAGGAAAATTTAGCATAAATAAATTTTATTTATTTAATAATGAGTCAGCATTGCTGAGGGACAAACCTGAGATTTGTAGTACTGAAATTATTCATATCACTTACATAATCCAGAATCATGAAGAGGGTTGAGTCTGAGATTTGAGATCCTCATATTGATTCTAGGGAACCTTAAGGCACCCAGGCCTCTCTTTAGAAACTGATTACGCTATAGGGAGAAGACACTCAGACCTTAACCAAGTCTCCTATCTGAATTTAAACAAGAATGTCTAAAGCACTCTCTTTAAAGCACTCTCTCTAAAGGAACCTCCAGGGAGCATGGCCACTCACTTTGAGTCAATAAAGGATCAAAGAAGTGTGGGCAGTAAGGAGCCACACCTTGTGACATGGCCCTGTTTCACCATGCAATTTTCACAGGGGTCTGCACACACACATTCTTAGCCAATAAGCCGGACACCTCTTGTACTGAGCAAAATCGGATGTGAATTCTTCTATTTTCCTCCCACTTGCTTCAGATTTCCTATTTTCCATCCATTCTTATTTTCTTATCTTCCTTTCTAAGGCTGATCTCATCCCTTCCCAGTCAAGTTCTGAGACCTAAATTCATAAACCATCTTCTTCTTCAGTCTTCCTCATTTTCCTCTCCACCAGTTCCTCCCTACATACCAATACACCAAGTCTCTTCTGTCTTGGAGGCAAAAAAAAAAAAAAAAAAAAATCCTCCGTGAGTCTTTTGCTCTGAAGAGTCAGGTGGCATATCCTAATTCTTCTTCCCTTCACTTCAATCTTCATAAAAGACTTCACCTGCTGCAATTCTCTTCTCCCTTTTATGGCACAATTCCTTGAAACTGAATTTCCCAGGTTCATGTCTTGGTACCACTTTCCCTGAAATTACCAATAACCTTCAAGTTGCCAATTCCGTTACTCCTGCTCAACTTCTGAAGCTTTATGCAACAGTGATCACCTCTGTCTACTGATGCATGCTTGCCCCAATTTTACACTCCCAACCTCTGCACACTTCTCTTGAATAGTTCTCACTTTCCTTCCCTAGAGCCTCTTTTGCCTTCTGCCTCTAAAATAGAAAGTAGAAGATGTACTAAACACTTTAGTCCTCATCTTGTTCTCACTTGACATGTTCTTCCTTAGGGATTTCATCTATTATTTTTGTCCTTCCTCCTTTCATTGATTTAACAGAGGTCTATTATTAGCCAATGATGTGACAGGTACTTTTCCTGGAGCTTGTTATTCAGCAATGAACAAGAATTACAAGATCCCCATTATCATGAGCTTATATTCTAGTGTGTGTATGTGTTAGAGGAAGGAGGGCGGCCAGTGATAGATACTAAACAAATTAAAAGGCAAATAACCAAGAAAGTATCAAAATAACTTTGCACCTGAGCCTATGAGTTTAGCTTTCCCAAGGTGGGCAAATGTCAGCCCTAGAGTATCTTGCTAGGGAGCTTGCCAGGTGAGACTTCTGTGTGGAAGTGAAGATGGAGGCTCAGAGTGAGCCACCCAGCCTGAGCTGACTCCAGCTCATATCCAGAGGGCTCCCCAATACCAGAAGCTTTGTCAACCAGCAGCATCACTAGGCTCTGACCAAACTGTGGGAGAAGCAATCCAAATGCTGAGAGAGAGCAGCAGCAGCCAGCAAACAAAGGACATCGCCATGGCAACCAGAGGAGCCTTGGGATAATATGCAAATCTGGGAATCCTGCCTTCCTTAAGCTGTAACATCATAGAAGCCACCCCAGCACCACATACTTAGATGTTGTCTTAGGAAGAGAAGCTATCTGAGACCCTGAGCAATTATTCCAAGACACTAAGCATTATTGAAACGAAATGTTTAAATTCTTACATAAGACTAAGCTTTAAACCTGATTAAATCCATTTTCTTGTGTTAGCTGTTGTTTATCTGTTTGTTCCCCCATGATCCTAATCCCCCAGTACTCAGCAGGTTGAAGATTATAATGGGTATATTAGAGAGGCGACAACAATCTTTTCTCCCATATTTCTCAGTTATAAAATGGGTAGGATTATGACACAGCTATGTGTTTGTCTTTAATTCTGACTCCTTTCTTGAGTTTTGTACCAGCATTTCTAATAGTCTGCTGGTCTAAAATAAAATTTGTGTCTCCAACCTACAGAGCAACTTTTTCCTAAATCTTTTGTCTCAATTAAAATTAATTTCTGCATGATGGTTTTAGTTGTCTCCCTAACAGAATAGGTTCCTTTTTCCATTCTGACATACACATTCTCTTTTGATTGTCAAATTATTAATGTTATTTATCTCTCACTGTTTTACTTCTTCTGAGAAAACCAGAATCATGATATTGTAAAAACCAGAGATGATTCTACAAAGGCTGTGAATGTCCCTCATTTGCAATCTTATTGGACCCAATCTTTTTTTCATTGTCATTGCCTTGCTGCTGAAACAACAGATGCACCCTCTCTCTAGGCCCAGAGACTATGGGGGAAAAGGTGGGTGTGTGAGATTGTAAGGGCCAGTTTTGAGGGACAGAATTAGTTCAGACTCTCCAAATCAAGGACAGGCACACAGATTGCCTAAAGAGCTGGCAAATTTTTGAGAGACTTTTCCTCCTGAGCCATCTTGTGGTCCCTTTCCATCCATCCAACCATAAAGAATTTCCTGCTTTCCATAGAAGTAAATGAGAATTACTAAGAGAATATCAAGACACCTGGTGACAAAGCCTTCTCAGTATAGTTGTTCCCAGTTACGGGGTTCACACAAATAATGATATAATAAGAAATTTTTCAGCCACCTTAAGATAAATTACTTAAGAGATTGCAAAAGGCATTGCAGAACAACAAAATCTCTAAATTCCTTAGCTTAAAATGGTTTTAGCAAAATGCTTATGTTTTATATAGCTAACGGCTACAAGTCTGTAACTAACACCAAGATTGTAGTAGCTCAGTGCATAGAACTGGTAAGTCACTTTTATAACCTTACTTTTTGGCTTTGGTTTTTGGCTCTTATGTTGCTTAAAAGGTTTTAAGTGTTGATGGTTACCTGCCCACCTCCATTCTCATCTGGCATAAAATGTTTAGTTGGCTGTAAGTCTTTTGGCTCTAAGTCCCTCTGTCACAAGGGTCCCACTGAGGGACAGGATGGACCTGCAGCAGGTAGCCACATCACCCCAGCAATGATATGGGACAAAAGAAAAGTCTGGCAGGTCTTGGCCAAATGGGAGAGAATGTAAACTAAAAATAAAATTCTAAGCCCCTTCAATTGATTAAACAGACCATTTCTTGGCCAAAGGAACCCCAGAGAAATCTTGAAAACTGAGTTCTCAGTCTTGATGGGATGGAGAGGTCAGACACATGTTGTTATACTCGCTACCTTGCTAACCATAATTAGCCTTTCTTCCCTAAGGGCTTAGCAGAAACCAGCCCTTTCAAAAGACTACACCACTGATATCAACCAACAGCCTGATGCTTCCCCTCCTTTTCACCCGATAAGAGACCAATGATGATGGAGTGGTTCTGGCCAATCTACGAAGAATGTACATAAGGGTTTTAATGTCCTCTGCTTCACCTTTTGGCATCAGAGGACCGAAAATTCCACCCTCAGATCACGCTAACACTGACAATTTTTGTACATGGGACCCGTGAAGGAGTATGAAGCTCAATTGTGCATGCACATGTTTCTCCTTTCATAAATACTTATGACTCCTCCTATAACTTATTAAATATGTATATTTGGCCATCCTGCTCAGCAAAAATTCCTGCTCTTTGCCCCTCCCTTGAAGTATCTGTTTATGGCTTCTGGCCGGAGGCTACACTTCCTAGCCTGTCAGAATGGCCACCCTGTAGGCTACAACCCTTTCTGAGAAATAAGGTTCTCCTATCCAAATTAAAAATAAATGAGAAATTAAAAATAAATAAATTGGCCAGGCGCTGTGGCTCATGCTTGTAATCCCAGCACTTTGGGAGGCCAAAGCAGGCGGATCACTTGAGGTCAGGAGTTCAAGACTAGCCTGGCCAAAATGTGAAACCCCATCTCCACTAAAAACACAAAAAAATTAGCCAGGAATGGTGGTGAGCACCTGTAATCCCAGCTACTCATTAGGCTGAGACAGGAGAATCACTTGAACCCAGGAGGCGGAGGCTCCAGTAAGCTGAGATTGCGCCATTGCACTCCAGTCTAGGTGACAAAGCAAGACTCCATCTCAAATAAATAAACAAACAAACAAACAAACAAACAAACTTCTGATCTTCCTAATCAATCAGATTAGGAACTTTAAGGTCTCCAAAATGTCACAAGCCTAACTTAAAATTCCACTCATATATCATTGTTTATTTATATTCTCACTGCCGCTCTGCTAGCTCAGGGCCTCGACTCTCATCTAAAAGACTGCCAAGTCTCTTAATTGGTTTTCCTGGAAAAGGGGCATGAGAATGGACCTAGGGGGGTAAACATAAAGTATGAAGATCTTTGGGTGACTCATTAACACTCACCAGAGAACATTCTGCATGAAGAAGGCACTAAACAAGTAAGTATACAGAATACTAACCAACTGAAATTATCCAGTTTCTGTCATTGGCCGTCTTAGTGCTAGTATAATTTAGGACAAAGCAGCCACGGCAACAGGGATGGAGGCTATGCATGGGCCCAACAGTATGGGCTCTCTCTCACCAAGGCTGAACTAGCTACTGCTATGCTACTACAGATTATCTAACCTACCAGTAACAGACACAAAGCTGAGCCCCCAATATAGCACATTCCCTCAAAGAAATTAACGAGACAGTTGTTGGTAAATGGATTACACTGGACCCTCTCCACTCTGAAAGTGGAAATAAATCACTTTGACAAGAATCAACATATATTACAACATGGATTTGACCTTTCTGCCTGCAGACCCTTAGCCAGAACCACTACCTGAGAACTTATGTTTCTGGTTCACTTTAACCATATTCCACATAACATTGTCTTGGACCAAGGGACTGTCTTTACAGCAAAGGAGATGTGAGCATATGACCACGGTGTGAGCACAGCAGTAGCTAGTTCAGCTTTGGTGAGAGAGAACTCATACTTTTGGGCCCGGGCATAGCCTCCATCCCTGTCACCATGGCTGCTTTGTCCATTATGCCAGCACTAAGGGGGCCAATGACAGAAGCTGGATAATTTCAATTGGTTAGTATTTTGTATACTTACTTATTTGGTGCTTTCATGGAGAATGTTATCTGGTGGATGTTAATGAGTGATCCTTTTCTTTACCGCAAAGGAGATGTGAGCACATGACCATGGTACCCACTGTTTCTATCACAAAATGCAACATTCAGAAGCTTCCAGCATGACAAGCAATGAAAGGTAATTCTAAAGGCATGGCTGAGACAACCCCTTAAAGATGATACCATCTGACGATAGGGTGCCCTGCTCCAGGATGAGGTTATACCTGAAATCAAAAAACATTACATAGTGACTGCATCTGCAATAGGTAAAATGCAGACAGGAAACTAAGGGGAGCAGCAGGAATGGCCCCACTTGCTGTCATTCCCAATGACCCATTTAGCAATTTTCATTTTTATTTCTCATCCCTGAATGCTAGGTTCAATTAATCTAGAGGTCCTGGTCCCATCAGTGGACACAGCCCGTTAAACTGTAAGCTGCAACTGCCACCTGGTCATTTCATACATTTTGGGCCAAGAGACCAGAGGGCAAGAAAAGGAGTCACCATCTATGTAGGGCTAATAGACCTTGATTATCAGGAAAAAGTGGAGCTTCTGCCACATGGTGAGTATGGGGAAGCATATTTTTATCACCCAGGTAATGAACACATTATGTTTGCCATATGAAGGGTATAAATGAAGGGTATCTCTTCATACTCCTTTGCCCAATTTTGATAGGAAATGAACAAATTCTACAGTCACAGCCTCAGGAAAGCGTGGTAACAAGGGCCTCAGGGACCCACAAGGTAAGTGGCTTAGATCAGTAGAGGCGTTAGTCAAGGGTAAGGGGAAATCTAGAATCAGTAGCAGAAGGAGACAATGAGTATTAGTTGTGGCCTGAAGACAAGGTGTAATGAAAGAGACTGGAATAAATCCTACTTACTCTCCTCTGTATTTCCAGAAAAAGAGACCAATCAGAATACTAGAGCTTCTGTTCCCAGATGGGGTGAATATATTCTATGAAGCTAGTGAACGATGGTAGGGATTGCTCGGGTGTACTGTCCAGGACTTACTTTAGTACCAATGCACTCTTCCCCAGCTGTAAGAATGTTGCATGTGGGAGCTCACAACTGGCATCTCTCCAGGAATTGCCTTCTATGAAAGGAGCTTCCTCACCCAAGGGTATGTCCCCTCTCTAGGGGAAGCCCACTTCAAATGACTGGTCCATGTTGGGTATAAGGGCCCAGCTCAATTGACCCAATTCAGAACACTCTGAAGGGTCATCCTAGGTCCAGAACTCTCCATGTGCACAAGATGAACTGCATCACAACTCAACTTCCTCTGCCAGTGCTGCTTTGCTCGCTCCCTTACAGGTGATCTTATGAAAAGTACTCTCCAATCAATCTCCTGCATGTGCTCTCTGCCCTTTTGACATGTGTCCATTTGTCTTTGAGCATTTCCTTACTTTCTGGCAAGTAAAAAAAATGCAGGCTTACTTTCTATCCCTCCTGCTCTGGAATGAGCCATCTCCAAAGAGTATACCTGAATTAGAAGAGAAATTCCACAAGAGAAATTGGTGAAACTACATAACAGTCTTTCAAATGTTATATGTGTTTGAAAGATTTCAAATTCAAAGCCGGAGGAGAAAAAAAGAAAACTTCTTTAAAATTTACAGAAAACATTTGCCAACAGTTGGTCATTAACCACTGAGATTGAAGATTGTGGTTACTGTAGCTTTGTAGTATAGTTTGAAGTCAGGTAGTGTGATGCCTCCAGCTTTGTTCTTTTGGCTTAGGATTGACTTGGCGATGCGGGCTCTTTTTTGGTTCCATATGAACTTTAAAGTAGATTTTCCAATTCTGTGAAGAAAGTCATTGGTAGCTTGATGGGGATGGCATTGAATCGATAAATTACCTTGGGCAGTATAGCCATTTTCACGATATTGATTCTTCCTACCCATGAGCATGGAATGTTCTTCCATTTGTTTGTATCCTCTTATTTCGTTGAGCAGTGGTTTGTAGTTCTCCTTGAAGAGGTCCTTCACATCCCTTGTAAGTTGGATTCCTAGGTATTTTATTCTCTTTGAAGCAACTGTGAATGGGAGTTCACTCATGATTTGGCTCTCTGTTTGTCTGTTGTTGGTGTATAAGAATGCTTGTGATTTTTTTTGCATCGATGTTCATCAGGGATATTGGTCTAAAATTCTCTTTTTTTGTTATGTCTCTGCCAGGCTTTAGTATCAGGATGATGCTGGCCTCATAAAATGAGTTAGGGAGGATTCCCTCTTTTCCTATTGATTGGAATAGTTTCAGAAGGAATGGTACCAGCTCCTCCTTGTACCTCTGGTAGAATTCGGCTATGAATCCGTTTGGTCCTGGACTTTTTTGGTTGGTAAGCTATTAACTATTGCCTCAATTTCAGAGCCTTTTATTGTTCTATTCAGAGATTCAACTTCTTCCTGGTTTAGTCTTGGGAGGGTGTATGTGTCCAGGAATTTATCCATTTCTTCTAGATTTTCTACTTTATTTGAGTACAGGTGTTTATAGTATTCTCTGATGGTAGTTTGTATTTCTGTGGGATCAGTGGTGATATCCCCTTTATCATTTTTTATTGCATCTATTTGATTCTTCTCTCTTTTCTTATTTATTAGTCTTGCTAGCGGTCTATCAATTTTGTTGATCTTTTCAAAACATGGTACTGATACCAAAACAGATATAAACCAACAGAACAGAACAGAGCCCTCAGAAATAATACCACACATCTACAACCATCTGATCTTTGACAAACCAGAGAAAAACAAGAAATGGGGAAAGGATTCCCTATTTAATAAATGGTGCTGGGAAAACTGGCTAGCCATATGTAGACAGCTGAAACTGGATCCCTTCCTTACACCTTATACAAAAATTAACTTAAGATGGATTAAATACTTAAATGTTAGACCTAAAACCATAAAAACCCTAGAAGAAAACCTAGGCAATACCATTCAGGACATAGCCATGGGCAAGGACTTCATGTCTAAAATACCAAAAGCAATGACAACAAAAGCCAAAATTGACAAATGGGATCTAATTAAACTCAAGAGCTTCTGCACAGCAAAAGAAACTACCATCAGAGTGAGCAGGCAACCTACAGAATGGGAGAAAATTTTTGCAATCTACTCATCTGACAAAGGGCTAATATCCAGAATCTACAATGAACTCAAACAAATTTACAAGAAAAAAACAAACAGCCCCACCAAAAAGTGGGAGAAGGATATGAACAGACACTTCTCAAAAGAAGACATTTATGCAGCCAACAAACACATGAAAAAATGCTCATCATCACTGGCCATCAGAGAAATGCAAATGAAAACCACGATGAGATACCATCTCACACCAGTTAGAATGGCGATCATTAAAAAGTCAGGAAACAACAGGTGCTGGAGAGGATGTGGAGAAATAGGAACACTTTTACACTGTTGGTGGGACTGTAAACTAGTTCAACCATTGTGGAAGACAGTGTGGTGATTCCTCAGGGATCTAGAACTAGAAATACTATTTGACCCAGCCATCCCATTACTGGGTATATACCCAAAGGATTATAAATCATGCTGCTATAAAGACACATGCACACGTATGTTTCTTGCAGCGCTATTCACAATAGCAAAGACTTGGAACCAACCCAAATGTCCAACAACGATAGACTGGATTAAGAAAATGTGGCACATATACACCATGGAATATTATGCAGCCATAAAAAATGATGAGTTCATGTCCTTTGTAGGGACATGGATGAAGCTGGAAACCATCATTCTCAGCAAACTATCGCAAGGACCAAAAACCAAACACCGCATGTTCTCACTCACAGGTGGGAATTGAACAATGAGAACACATGGACACAGGAAGGGGAACATCACACACCGGGGCCTGTCGTGGGGTGTGGGGAGGGGGGAGGGATAGCATTAGGAGATATAGCTAATGTTAAATGACGAGTTATTGGGTGTAGCACACCAACATGGCACATGTATACATATGTAACAAACCTGCACGTTGTGCACATGTACCCTAGAACTTAAAGTATAATGAAAAAAAAAAAAAGAAAATCGTGTATACTGCCAAGATTATTGCTTACCACTATTTCCCTTCATTATCTTCTCATATCCTAGAGTCACTGTTCAAGCCCTTTTGTTGACTGGTATATTTTCTCAAGACTTCTCTAATCTCTGAATTCTCACACATCTGCAAACATCTTTCTCCCTAAGAGGTAACTGATAGCTTAGCTTAGCCTAGCCTAAGATTCATGGGTGTAATCTTCTGGTCTACTACCATTAAACCACCACATTCCAGTCTCAAGAAGTGCACACAGGAAATGTAATGTATGTCTGATTATTTGTCCTTTCCAACTAACGTTTTTTTTCTATCTGGACCCTGTAAGATTTTATCATTATCTTTGGAGTCTGAAAATTTTATAGGAATATGCCTATTACCTTTTTTTCCTCATCCATCCTAAATAAAGCTTGGATTAGAGAGACTGGGGCACTCTTCAAGTTGCAGATGTAGGTTTCTTCTAATATAATCATACTATTTTCTCTCACATTTTCTTTTTTTTTTAACCTCCTAGAACTCCTAATATTACACCTCTTGGTCTGTCTTATCCCATGATTTCCTTTTATTTATAATTTAGGGGGCTATTTTTAGCAGAGTTACACATGTGCATCATTTAAAACTTCTACAAGGTTAGATATGAAAAAATTAGATCCCCCCACACTTCAAATTTCTCACTCCCTGAATTGCTTTCAACTCTTTTTGCTGGTTTTTGGTATTTGCCCCAAATTCCTAAATAACATTGTTATAGTCTTATACTGTTACTAACTTTAGTTATAGGCATTATTATCTATATTATTTATTGCAGAAGCTAATAATTTAAATCTTTTCCATATAAAAGCAATAATTTCAACAAACATACACACACACACACACAGGTTATCTTGTTTCCCCAATAGCATTTTACCTTGTTATAGCAGATCAACATACATTATTTATATCAATGCCCATTGTTTATATTGACTACGTAAACACTATTGGTAACTAAAACATGTAGTTTACTATGATTATTTTCCCTAGAATTGAGAATTTTTTTCATTTTTAACTTTTCTATGTACTTAACATTAATGTATCCACCCAGTTCTCCAGAACTGATATGAATCTATTCTCAATGCACTCAAACTCCTTAGGCATTCTATCAATTTTATCTTCTTGAAGAAGTCTCTCCTTGAGCCTCCTGGTCTATTTCAGTTCGAACTGCATTATTTACAGGCTGTGGCTTTTCACCAACACTCAATTAATCCTGTTGTCTCTCTTTTGTGTTGGATCCCATTTCCTCAATTTTGTTTTCTTCTTCCTTGGTTTATGCCATTATTTTGATGATGCACAAGCTCCAGCAATTTCAAGGAAAGGCTATGGAAAAGAATCTTGAGTCAAATATCTTCATCATAATTTACTTCTCTATATGTATTTCTTCTTAGTTTTTAGATATTTCTTCCTCCTAATTTTTCCAACCTATAGTGACACTCCATAGTCACAGGTCTCCATAGTGACTCTCCTTAAATCCATCTACTGAAGTTTTATTTCAAAGATTTGTTTTTCAGTGTCTCAGACCACAGTGCAATCAAATTAGAACTCAGGATTAAGAAACTCACACAAAATCACACAATTACATGCAAACTGAACAAGCTTTTCCTGAATGACTCTTGGGTAAATAATAAAATTAAGGCAGAAATCAAGAAGTTCTTTGAAATCAATGAGAATAAAGAGACAATGTACCAGAATCTATGGAACACAGCTAAAGCAGTGTTAAGACAGAAATTTTAGCACTAAATGCCCACATCAGAAAGCTAGAAAGATCTCAAATCGATACCCTAACATCACAATTAAAAGAACTAGGGAAGCAAGAGCAAACAAAAAATCTAGCAGAAGACAAGAAATAACTAAGATCAGAGCAGAACTGAAGGAGACAGATACATGAAAAAAACCTTCAAAAAAAAATCAATGAATCCAGGAGCTGGTTTTTAAAAAAAAAAATTAACAAAATAGACTGCTAGCTAGATTAATGAAGAAAAAAGAGAGAAGAGTCAAATAGGCACAAGAAAAAAATGATAAAGGAGATATCACCATTGACCCCACAGAAATACAAACTACCATCACAGAATACTATAAACACCTCTACACGAAGAAACTAGAAGTTCTAGAAGAAATGAATAAATTCTAGGACACATACACCCTCCCAAGACTAAACCAGGAAGAAGTCGAATCCTTGAGTAGACCAATATCAAGTTCTGAAATTGAGGCACTAGTTAATAGCCTACCAACTAAAAAAAGACCAGGACTAGATAGATTCACAGCCAAATTCTATCAGAAGTACAAAGAGGAGCTGGTACCATTTCTGCTGAAACTATTCCAAACAAAAGAAAAAGAGGGACTCCTCCCTAACTCAATTTATGAGGCCAGCATCATCTTGATACCAAAACCTGGCAGAAACACAACAAAGAAAGAAAACTTCAGGCTAATATCCCTGATGAAGATTGATGTGAAATGTACTCAATAAAATACTGGCAAACCAAAGCCAGCAGCATATCAAAAAGCTTATCTACAATGATCAAGTCAGCTTTATCCCTGGGATACAAGGCTGGTTCAACATACACAAACCAATAAACTTAATTCATCACGTAAATAGAACTAAAGACAAAAAGAGCATGATTATTTCATTAAATGCAGAAAAGTCCTTCAATAAAATTCAACATCGCTTCATGCTAAAAACTCTCAATAAATTAGGTATTGATGGAACATATCTCAAAATAATAAGAGCCATTTATGGCAAACCCACAGCCAACATTATACTGAATGGGCAAAAGCTGGAAGCATTCCCTTTGAAAACTGGCACAAGACAAAGATGCCCTTTCTCACCACTCCCATTCAACATAGTATTAGAAGTGCTGGCCAGGGCAATCAGGCAAGAGAAAGAAAAAAACGGTATTCAAATAGGAAGAAAGGAAGTCAAATGGTCTCTGTTTGCAGATGACATGATTCTATATTTAGAAAACCCCATCATCTCAGCCCAAAAACTCCTTAAGCTGATAAGCAACTTCAGCAAAGTCTCAGGATACAAAATCAATGTGCAAAAATCACAAGCATTCCTATACGACAATATACAAGCAGAGAGCCAAATCATGAATGAACTCCCATTCACAATTGATACAAAGAGAACAAAATACATAGGAATGGTCCCGGTACAGTGGCTCACACCTGTAATCCCAGCACTTTGGGAGGCCAAGGCAGGCAGATCACGAGGTCAGGAGTTCGAGACCATCCTGGCTAACAGATGAAACCCCATCTCTACTAAAAATACAAAAAATTAGTCGGGCGTGGTGGTGCATGCCTGCAGTCCCAGCTACTCAGGAGGCTGAGGTAGAAGAATCGCTTGAACCCAGGAGGCAGAGGTTGCAGTGAGCCGAGATCACGCCACTGCACTCCAGCCTGGGCGACAGAGCAAACTCTGTCTCAAAAAAAAAAAAAACAAAAACCTAGGAATACAGCTAACAAGGAACATGAAGAATCTCTTCAAGGAGAACTACAAACCACTGCTCAAGGAAATAAGAGAGGACACAAACAAATGAAATAGCATTCTATCCTCATGGATAGAAAGAAACAATATCCTGAAAATGACCATACTGCCCAAAGTAATTTATAGATTCAGTGCTACTCCCATCAAACTACCACTGACATTCTTCACAGAATTAGAAAAGACTACTTTAAGTTTCATATGCAACCAAAAAAGAGCCCATATAGCCAAGACAATCCTAAGCAAAAAGAACAAAGCTGGAGGTATCACGCTACCTGACTTTAAACTATGCTACAAGGCTACAATAACCAAAACAGCCTGGTTCTGGCACCAAAACAGACATATAGACCAATAGAACAGAACAGAGAACTCAGGAATAATGCCACAGATCTACAACCATCTGATTGACAAACCTGACAAAAACAAGCAATGGGGAAAGCATTCCCTAGTTAATAAATGGTGTTGGGAAAACTGGCTAGCCGTATGCAGAAAACTGGAATTGGACCCCTTCCTTATACCTTATACAAAAATTAACTCAAGATGTATTAAAGACTTAAATGTAAAACTCAAAACCATAAAAACTCTAGACGAAAACCTAGGCAACAGCATTCAGGACATAGGCATGGGCAAAGATTTCATGACTAAAATACCAAAAGCAATTGCAACGAAAGCTAAAATTGACAAATAGAATCTAATTAAGCTAAAGAGCTTTAGCACAGCAAAAGAAACTACCATCAGAGTGAACAGGCAACCTACAGAATGGGAGAAAATTTCTGCAATCTACCCATGTGAGAAATGTCTAATATCCAGAATTTACAACGAACTTAAATTTCAAGAAAAAAATAACCCTATCAAAAAGTGGGCAAAGAATATGAACAGGCACTTCTCAAAAGACAGTATTTATGTGGCCAAGAAACATGAAAAAAAGCTCAACATCACTATCATTAGAGAAATGCAGATCAAAACCACAATGCGATACCATCTCACACCAGTCAGAATGGTGATTATTAAAAAACCAAGAAACAATAGATGCTGGCAAGGCTGTGGAGAAATAGGAATGCTTTTACACTGTTGGTGCAAATGTATATTAGTTCAACCATTGTGGAAGACAGCGTGGCGATTCCTCGGGGATCTAGAACCAGAAATACCATTTGACCCAGCAATCCTATTACTGGGCATATACCCAAAGGAATATAAATCATTCTAATATAAAGACACATGCACACGTATGTTTACTGCAGCACTACTTACAATAGCAAAGACATGGAACCAACCCAAATGCCCATCAATGATAGACTGGATAAAGAAAATGTGGTACATATACACCATGGAATATTATGCAGCCATAAAAAGAAGGAGATCATGTTCTTTGCAGGGACATACAAAGATGGAAGCCATCATCCTCAGCAAACTAACACAGGAATAGAAAACTAAACACTGCATGTTCTCACTCATAAGTGGGAGTTGAACAATGAGAACACATGGACACAGGGAGGGGAACAACACACACCAGTGCCTGCCGTGGAGTAGGGGGTGAGGGGAGGGACAGCATCAAGACAAATACCTAATGCTTGCAGGGCTTAAAACCTACACGATGGATTGACAGATGCAGCAAACCACCATGGCACATGTATACCTATGTAACTAACCTGCATGTTCTGCATATGTATCCTGGAATTTAAAGTAAAATATAGAAAAAAAAAAGATTTGTTTTCTACCTATGTATAGAATCTTATTTTCCTTAATGAAAGAATTATATTTGCTCATAGTTTTATAGAAATTTCCACAAAGTAAAACATAACAAATATTTCAAAGTAAACATGTAACAGGCCATAGTCATTGATCATAATACAATAATATTACAAATAATTTTTAAACAGCTTGAAACATCGTAATGACTTCAAAATTAAGTTTTGATCAAAGAGAAAAATTACAAATACTCTAGAGGCTACTGAAAAGGTAAATACTTTACATAAAAATGTATGGAACCCAGCAATAGCCACAGTTAGATAAAAATTTATGCCCCTAAATCCTTTCATTACGAAGAAGAATGAAACTGCAGAAACATTATCATGTTTACCTGAACTTTTTTAAGAAAAGCGAAGAGTGAATGAGTTGATCAATGAACAGTTGTAATTGGTGATATAAGGGGAAAAAGTAGTAGAATTGATAAATAATTCCAAGAGTTTTTTTAACTAAAAATATAAATAAACCCTTTATGGTACTGCTTAAAAATATAAGAGGGAAAAAAATATTAGCAAGACTAGGAATAAAGAAAAATGTACAATTTCCTAGAGAATACAAATAATCCAAATTGAACCAAGAAGCAGACCCAAAATGACTAATTAGCAAAGAAAAAAATGGAAAGGTAACCATTATTTTAAATAACAATAGTAATAATAGCATTATACCCAAAAAAACCTTTAAATCTGAGTTTTACCTAACTTTTAAAGAATGGGTATTTATAGTGTTATTTAAATTATTTCATACCAAATAAAAAGATGAAATGTTTCCCAATTCATTTCACAAAGCCAACATAATTTTATTACCAAAAGTTAACATAAAAATAAACCTAAAAACTATGAACCTAATTATTTCAGTTACTATGGCTATATTTAAAAATTACTCCAATACTTAGTAACCCAAAACAACAATATGTGGACAGGTCTCAGGGGGATACTTCATCTCTGCTCCCCTCAGCATCAGCTAGGGTGTCTCAAAGTCTGGGGACTAAAATCATACGAATACTCACCCACTAACATGTAGTTGATGTTGTCAGATAAGACTTTTGCTGGAGCCAGAACACCTACACATGGCTTCTGTAACTGTCCTAGGCCTCCTCACACTATGGGGGCTGGGTTCTTGAGTGAGCTAGGCAGAAGCAGTACTATCTTTTATGACCTCACCTTGGAAGTCCCATAGTTTCACTCCCACCACATTCTATTCAACAGTGCAAAGTACAGCCCAGGTTCAGGGGGAGGGGAAATAAACTCTAACTCTTGTTGGGAAGTGACAAAGTTTAGAAGAGCATGTGGGACCACAAATATTGCTGAGGTCAGTTTTGGAAAATGCAAAATACCACAGTCCACCCTCTAGCCACAGCAGCAAAATACACTCATGCACTCCCTCAAGACCTACAACATCAGGCTGAGGCTTGAGGTCCAGGTATGGATGAACTTCTTGGGTACAGTTCCTCAAATACAGCCCCTTACGTACAGTTCCTTGTAATCTCAAGAGCTATAAACTAAAAAAGAAAAATTATCTGCCTTAACAAACACCAAATGCACAATGGTGGAGCAAGTACAGGATAACTGCTATAGACACTCCCAAAAAAAAGGAGGAAAGGAGAGACACAGAAGTCATTGGTCCATTAAAAGCTTGAAATCAAGCTGGGCAAAAGGTACTGGTACTTGATTAGGGCTCAGTTGTACTGTTTAAGAATGATTCACTGTGACTCTTGGCTCTCCACTCTGGGCTATTGGTTCTACCCTCTAAATTATTTTTTTTTCATAAAAAATAGCCATGTTCTTAGCATGCTTCCCATATGCAGAAGTTTGGGGTCAAAGGCATCTTTTCATTTTGTACTGTCTCTATGCCTTTCAGTATAAAACGATACAATCCTTTAAAAAAATTGTGTGGATCAAGAGAGAGAAAAGAAAAGCCACTGACTGGAAAAAGTATATGCAAAAGACACATCTGATAAAGCACTGTTACCTAAATATATAAAGAATTCTTTTTTTTTCCATTTTTCCCTCTGAACTTTTATTATAAAAAATTTCAAACATACAGCAAAATTGAAAGATTTCAGTGAACACCTGTATACGCACTACCTGAATTCTATCATTAACTTCTTTTAGCATTTAGAACCTTCTAAATCCTCTCCCTTGTTCCATTTTTAAATTTTTAAAATTGAGTTGAAATTTACACAATGTAAAAGTAATCATTTAAAGTGAACAATAAAGTGACATTTACAATTAGTCATTCACAATATGGTACAACCACTATCTCTATCTAGTTCTAAAATGTTTTCATCACCTCAAAATAAAACTCTATAACTATTATGCAGTTAATCCCATTCTTCCTTCCCCCTAGTCCCTGGCAACCATTGATCTCCTTTCTTTTTTATTATATTTTAAGTTTTAGGATACATGTGCACAACGTGCAGGTTTGTTACATATGTATACATGTGCCATGTTAGAGTGCTGCACCCATTAACTCGTCATTTACATTAGGTGTATCTCCTAATGCTTTCCCTCCCCCCTCCTCCGACCCCACGACAGGCCCCGGTGTGTGATGTTCCCCTTCCTGTGTCCAAGTGTTCTCATTGTTCAGTTCCCACCTATGAGTGAGAACGTGCGGTGTTGGTTTTTGGTCCTTGCGATAGTTTGCTGAGAATGATGGTTTCCAGCTTCATCCATGTCCCTACAAAGGACATGAACTCATCATTTTTATGGCTGCATAGTATTCCATGGTGTATATGTGCCACATTTTCTTAATCCAGTCTATCATTGTTGGATATTTGGGTTGGTTCCAAGTCTTTGCTATTGTGAATAGTGCCACATAAACATATGTGTGCATGTATCTTTATAGCAGCATGATTTATAATCCTTTGGGTATATACCCAGTAATGGGATAGCTGAGTCAAATGGTATTTCTAGTTCTAGATCCCTGAGGAATTGCCACACTGTCTTCCACAATGGTTGAACCAGTTTACAGACCCACCAACAGTGTAAAAGTGTTCCTATTTCTCCACATCCTCTCCAGCACCTGTTGTTTCCTGACTTTTTAATGATCACCATTCTAACTGGTGTGAGATGGTATCTCATCGTGGTTTTCATTTGCATTTCTCTGATGGCCAGTGATTATGAGCATTTTTTCATGTGTTTGTTGGCTGCATAAATGTCTTCTTTTGAGAAGTGTCTGTTCATATCCTTTGCCCACTTGCTGATGGGGTTGTTAGTTTTTTTCTTGTAAATTTGTTTGAGTTCTTTGTAGATTCTAGATATTAGGCCTTTGTCAGATGAGTAGATTGCAAAAATTTTCTCCCATTCTGTAGGTTGCCTGCTCACTCTGATGGTAGTTTCTTTTGCTGTGCAGAAGCTCTTTAGTTTAATTAGATCCCATACAAAGAATTCTTAAAATTCAACAATAAGAAAATGAATTCCCCAGTCAAAAAGCAGACAAAAGATATGAAGACACCTCATTAAAGATATACAAATGAAAAATAAGCATATGAAAAGACGTTCCATATCACATGTCCTTAGGAAACTGCAAATTAAAACAGCAATGAGATACTACTATACACCTATTAGAATGGCAAAAATCCAACACATTGCCAAGACCAAATGATGGTGAAGATGTGGAGAAACAGGAACTGTCATTCATTGCTGGTGGAAATGCAAAATTGCACAGTCACTTTGGAAGACAGTTTGGCAATTTCTTACACAACTAAACACACTCTTACCACATGATCCAGTAATTGCAAGCTCCTTGGTATATGCCCAAATGAGTTGAAAACTTACGTCTACACAAAAACCTGCATGTAGATGTTTATGGCAGCTTCATTCATAATTGCCAAACCCTGAGAACAACCAGGGTTGTCCAGTAGAGGAACAGATAAACAAACTCTGGTACATCCAGAGTTTGGAATATTATTCAGTGCTAAGAAGGAACGAGCTGTTAAGCCACAAAAAGACATGGAAGAAACAAATGTATATTACCACATGAACTACATGATATTTTGGAAAATGCAAAGCTGTAAGAGTTAGTAAAAAGATTTGTGGTTGTCATGGATATGAAGGTAAGGATAAATAGGCAGAGCACAGAGGATCTGGAGGGCAGTGGAACTACCTTATATGATACTATAATGAAGGATATGTGTCATTATACATTTGTCAAAACATATTGGTGTATTAATAGAATATACAACACCAAGAGTGAACCCTAATGTCAACTATTGACTTTGGGTGAGAATGATGTACCAAGGTAGGTTCATTGATGGTAAAAAAAAAAAAAAAAAAAAAAAAGTACCACTCTGGTCAGGGATATTGATAGTGTGGGAAATTTTAGGGAGAGAGGGGAATGGGGAGAATATAGGAACTTTCTACTTTCAGCTTAATTTTGTGTAAACTAAAACTGCTCTAAAAAAAATTTGCAACAAAAAACTGTGTGGATTTCTTGTTTATAATCCACTCCATTAGACAAAACCTGTACCCACAAATCTCTTCAAGATAAGTCCTAGAGCTTCCTATAAGGGTGCCGAGGGACAATGCTCTTAAAATTCTCAAAGGACTTTTTCTTTAATAAAGAGGATCTGTAAGGTATGTCATGTCCTTAAGATAATTAGAGAGACTACTGTCTGTGTGAGGCATGACATTAAATTTCCTGAGGTATTAGAACTAAGATTTTACAATCACTCCCTTGGCTTCATGATAAACCATGTTTTAATGACAGTACCCTAGATTTGCTCTCCTTCCATAAAGAATCTTCTTAATTTTAGAATTCTCTGCCGTCAGGAAAAACTGGAAAAGAGAAAGCTTTATTTTCAAGTCCAAGAAGTTCTGGCTCCTTTATATTTAACAATTATTTCTTTAGCTTACCTCTCTCCTATCATTTTACTATAAGCAGCAAGAAGAAGCCAGACAATCACCATTTTCTGCTTTTCACATTACCACAGGTGATAAGGTGGCCAAACTTCATGTCATTACCTAACAATGATCCTCTTTCCTCCAGCTCCAATGATATTTTTTCACTCTCCTCTAAACCCTCTCTGATAGCCTCCTTGAGGTCCATCAGCCTTCCACAGTCACCTGAAGGCCCTCTCACCTTCTGCCCTCTGTCTAGTCCTGCCTAATCCTGTCTAGTCTAGCTTCAGCCACTACCACATTTTAGATTTCTGTTACATGGCACTCACTTCCAGATAACAAAATCTGTTTTTATGATTGCATAACAAGTTCCTCCAAAATTTAGTGGCTTAAAACAACAATATTTATTTTTGTCAGGTATTTGCAATTTGGACAGGGCTCAGTGAGAATAATTCCTTTTTTTGCTCCACTCAGCATCGACTGGGGAAGCTTGAAGGCTGGAGACTAGAATCATCTGAAGGTTCATTCATATACCTGGTGGTTGAGTCTGGCTATTAGTTGAAACCTTAGCTGGGGCTATAAGCTGGAACATCTTCACTGGCCCCTCCATGTGGCCTGAGATTCCTCACAATTTCCAACAAGTCATGAAGTCACAGAGTGTTAATTCTTCAGCACTCAATTCATTGAAGCTGTTCAATTCAAGAGAATAGAAATGGATTTTACCTCTTGATGCAGGGAAGTGGCAAAGTTCTAGAAGATCATCAAGGGCTGGAAATATTGCTGTGGTCATTCCAGAGAAATGCAATCTATAAAACAAATAAAGATGCAGCAATCCTAAATAAAGTACAACTAAACAGAATCTAGCAACTTATCAAATGAATACTACCATATGATCAAGTAGAGTATACTCCAGGAATATAAATTACTTCAACACCAGGAACTACAGAAGTATAAATCATTAACTTTATCAATGAATTGGAAAATTGAAAAATATATCATAAATGAGATCATACACAAATGATAGATTTGGAAGAAAAGTATTAGGAACATACATGACAAATGATTAATAACTGTAACATATAAAGAATTCTTACCTTTCACAAGAAAAATATACAAGTCAATAGAAAATTAGGCAATGAATATAAATAGTCAATTTATTCTAAAGCAAGTACAAAAAAGAAAACATGAAAAGACCAAAGACTGGGGGAAAAAACAAGATGGCATAATAGAATCCTGCACCAATCATCCCCCTAACAGGAACACCAAATTTAACACCTATTTACACAAAAAAGTACATTCATAAGAAGCAAAAATCAGGTGAGCACTCACAGTACCTGGTTTTCACTTCATATTACTGAAAGGCACCATAAAGGGTAGGAAAGACAGTCTTGAATTGCCGACACCACACCTCCCTCCTCCCTGCCCCCATCCTCCAGCAGCAGCTGCATGGCACAGAGAATCTGTGCACTCAAGGAAGAAGGATGCAGCTATTGTGAGACATTGCATTGAACTTAGTGCTACCCTGTCATAGCAGAAAGCAGAACCAGTATGTACTTGGCTGAAGCCCACCCACAGAGGGAGCACTTGGACCAGCCATAGCCAGAGGGGAATCACCCATCTCAGAGGTCAGAATTTGAGTTCAGGCAAGCCTCGCCACGGCGGGCTGGAGTGCTCTGGGGCTCTAAATAAACTTGAAAGTCAGTCTAGGCTGCAATGACAGCAATTCCTAAGCAAGTCCTACTGCTGAACTGGCCTCAGAGGCAGTGTACTGGGGTGGGTGGGGCATGTGACCAATTGAGACACCAGCCAAGGCAACAAAGGGAGTGCTTGCACTACTCCCCCAAATCAAGGCTGCATAGCTCACAGCTCTGAAAGAGACTCCTTCTTTTTGGGGAGGGGAGGCGAAGAGAGGGGAGAATAAAGAGGACTTTGTCTTGCATCTAGAATACTAGCTCAGCCACCGTAGGAGAGGGCACAGTGGTAAGGCCCCCTTTCCAGGCCCTAGCTCCCAAATGACATTTCTAGGCACACCCTGGGCCAGAAGGAAACTTGCTGCCTTGAAGGGAAGGAACCAGTTTTGGCAGGACCCATCACCTGCTGACTAAAGAGCACTTGGGCCCTGAATAATCAGCAGCAATACCCAGGTAGTATTCCATGGGCCATAGGAGAGACACTGAGATGTGCTGGCTTTAGGTAAGACACAGCACATTCCCAGCTGTGGTGGCTATGGGGAGAGACTCCATCTGCTTGAGAAAAGCAGAGAAAAGTAAAGGGAGCTTTGTCGTGCACCTTAGATACCAGGTTGGTACTTCTGGACCTGCCCTGGTCCAGAGGGGATCCCAGCACCCTGAAGGATGAGTCTCAGACCTGGCAACATTCACCTCAAGCTAATTGAAGAGCCCTTGGGCCTTAAGTGAACATCAGTGGAAGCCTGGCAGCACTCCTCATAGGCCAGTGATGGTGGTGTCCACAGGGTTAGGATCCTCTGCCTGTGGAAAGTGGAGGGAAGAGCGGGAAGGCCTGCATCTCATGATTTGAGTGCCAGCTCAGCAGCAGTACAACAGAACACCAGGTAGATGTCTAAGGTTTTTTACTCCAGTACATGGCTCATGGATGACACCTCCGGACCCACCCGGGGTCTGGGGGAACTTGCCGCCCTGAAGGAAAGGACACAAGTCTGTCCCACTTTGCCACCTGCTGACTGTACCGCCCTAGAGCCTTGAGCAAACATAGGTAGCACCCAAGTAGTGGTTACTGCAGGCCTTCGGCAAGACTTCATGCTGTGCTGACTTCAGGTCTGACCCAGTGCAGTCCCAGTGGTGGTCACAGAGCTGCTTGTGTCACCCCCATCCCCAGCCACAGGTAGTTCATCGCAGAGACAGAAACTACTTTTGTTTGGGAGAAAATAAAGGAAGAGAACAAGAGTATCTGCCTGGTAATCTAGAGAAATGTCCTGGATCTTAACCAAGACCAGCAAAGTAGTACCTATACAAATCTACAAGAACCACAGCATTAGTGGCCTTGGGGTGCCCCCTAATGGAGATACAGCTTACATCACAACACCCAAGTCATTCTGAATACCTGTAAAGCCTTCCCAAGCAGGACAAGCACAAATAAGCCCAGACTGCAAGGACTATAAGTAAACACCTAACTCTTCAATGCCTGACGAACATCTACAATCATCACCACCACCCATGGAAAACATGACCTCAGCAAACCAACTAAATAAGGTGCCAGACATCAATCCTGGAGAAACACAAATATGAAACCTTTCAGAGAAAAAATTCAAAATAGCTGTGTTGAAGAAACTCAAAGAAATTCAAGATAACACAGAGAAGGAATTCAGAATTATATCAGATAAATTTAACAAAGAGATTTAAATAATTAAAAAGAATCAAGCCAAAGTACTGGAGGTAAAAAATCCAACTGACATACTGAATAATGTATCAGAGTCTTTTAATAGCAAAATTGATCAAGCAGAAGAAAGAATTAGTGAGATTGAAGATAGGCTATTTGAAAACACACAGAGGAGACAAAAGAATAAAAAAAAAGCATGCTTACAATATCTAGAAAACAGCTTCAAAAGGGCAAATCTAAGAGTTACTGGTCTCAAAGAGGAGGTAGAGAAAGAGATTGAGGTAGACACTTTATTGAAAGGGATAATAACAGAGAACTTCCCAAGCCTAGGGGAAAATATCAATATCCAAGTATGAGAAGATTATAGAAGACCAAGCAGATTTAACCCAAAGAATACTACCTCAAGGCAGTTAATAATCAAACTTTCAAAGGCCAAAGATTTAAAAAAAAAAGAAAAAAAGAAAAAAAAAGAACCTAAAAGCAGCAAGAGAAAAGAAACAAATAACATACAATGGGGCTCCAATACATTTGGCAGCAGACTTTCCAGTGGAAACCCTATTGGCTAGCAGAGAGTGGCATGACGTATTCAAAGTGCTGAAGGAAAAAAAAAATTTTTTGTTAGAATAGTATATCCAGGAAAACATCCTTCAACATAAAGGAGAAATAAAGATTTTCCCAAACAAAAGCTGAAGGACTTCATCAAAACCAGAACTGTCCTACAAAAAAAAGGTTAAAGGGAATACTTCAATCAAAAAGAAAAGGATATTAATGAGCAATAAGAAATCATCTGAAGGCACAAAACTTACTGGTAAGAGTAAGTACATAGAAAAAAACACAGAATATTATAACACTATAACTGTGGTATGTAAATTACTCTTAAGTAGAAACACTAAAAGATAAACCAATCAAAAATAATAGCTACAACTTTACAAGACAGACACTACAGTAAGATACAAATAAGAAAAACAAAAAGTTAAAAAGTGAGAGACAAAGTTAAGGTGTAGAGTTTTTATTAGTTTTCTTTTTGCTTATTTGTTTATGCAAACATTGATAAGTTGTTATCAGCTTAAAATAATGGTTTATAAGATAGTATTTGCAAGTCTCATGATAACCTCAAATCAAAAACCATACAACAGATATAGGAAAAATAAAAGACAAAAAATTAAATCATACCACCAGAGAAAATCACCTTCAATAAAACAAAGACAGGAAGGAAGGAAAGAAGGAAGACCACAAAACGACCAGAGAATAAATAACAAAATAGCAAGAATAAGAATGTATCAGTCTTTTAATATTACTATCAATAATAATGTTGAATGTAAATGGACTAATATCTCCAATCAAAAGACAGTGGCTGAATGGATGAAAAAACAAGGCCATGACCTGTTGCCTACAAGAAACACACTTCACCTATAAGGACACACATAGACAGAAAATGAAGAGATGGGGAAAATATTCCATGCCAATAGAAGGCAAAAAAGAACAGGAGTAGCTATACCTTTATCAGACAAAATAGTTTTCAAGACAAACACTGTAAGAAGAGACAAGGAAGGTCATTATATAAAGAGGTCAATTCAGCAAGAGGATATAACAACTGCAAATATATATGCATCCAACACTGGAGCACCCAGATATATAAAGCAAATGTTATTAGGGCTAAAGAGAGAAATAGGCCCCAATACAAAAATATGTGGAGATTTCAACACCCCACTTTCAGCATAAGACAGATCTTCTAGACCAAAAAAAAAAATCAACAAGGAAACATCGGACTTCATCTGCACCACAGAACAAATGGACCTCATAGATATTCACAAAACATTTCATCCACAGGCTGCAGAATACACATTCTTTTCCTTAGCACATGGATCATTCTCAAGAACAGACCATATGTTAAGTCACAAAACAAATCTTAAAACATTCAAAAAATTGAAATAATATCAAGCATCTTTTCTGACCACAATAAAATAAAACTAGAAATCAACAACAAGAGGAATTTTGGAAACTATACAAACACATGCAAATTAAACAACATGCTCCTGAATGACCAGTGTGTCAATGAAGAAATTAAGAAGGAAATTGAGAAATTTCTGGAAACAAATGATAATAGAAACAACATACCAAAACCTATGGGATACACCAAAAGCAGTACTAAGAGGGAAGGTTATAGTTACAAGTGCCTACATCAGAAAAGAAGAAAGACTTCAAATAAACAACGTAATGATGCATTTAAAGAACTAGAGAAACAAACACAAACCAAACCTGAAATTAGTTGAAGAAATAATAAAGATCACAGCAGAAATAAATGAAATTGAAATGAAAAAAAAAGATTAATGAAGCAAAGAGTTGGTTTTTAGAAAAGTTAAACAAAATTGGTAAATCTTTAGCCAAGGTAAAAAAAAAAAAAAACAGAGAGAGATGACCCAAATAAATGAAATCACAGCTGAAAAAGGAGCTGTTACAACTGATACCACAGAAATTCAAAGAATCATTTGTGGTTATTATGACCAACCATATGAAAATAAGATGGAAAATCTAGGAAAAAAAATGGATAAATTCTTAGATACATACAATCTAACCAAGACTGAAGCATAAAGAAATCCAAAATCTGAAGAGACTAATAATAAGTAATGAGATTGAAGCTGTAATAAAATTCTCCTAGTAAAGAAAAGCCTAGAATCTGATGGCTTCACTGATGAATTCCACCAAACATCTAAAGAGGCACTTGTATCAATCCTACTCAAACTATTCCAAAAAACAGAATAGAAAAGGGTACTGCCAAATTCATTCTAAGAAGACAGGATTACCCCAATACCAAAACCAGACAAAGACACAGCAAAAAAAGAAAACTACAAACTGATATCACTGATTAACAGTAATACAAAAATCCTCAACAAATACTAGCAAACTGAATTCAACAGCACGTAAAAAAGATAATTCATCATGACCAAGTGAGATTTATCACAGGGATAAAACAAGAACAAGGACCAAGAGTGGTTCAACACACACAAACCCAAATTAATCAATGTGCTACATCATATCAACAGAATGAAGGACAAAAACCATATGATCATTTCCATTGATGCTGAAAAAGCATTTGATAAAATTAAACATCCCTTCATGATAAAAACCCTCAAAAAACTGGGTATAGAAGAAAAATACCCCAACACATTAAAAGCCATATGTGACAGACCCACAGCTAGTATCATACTGAAAAAAAAAACTGAAAGCCTTTCCTCTAAGATCTGGAACATGACAGGGACGCCCACTTTCACCACTGTTATTCAACGTAGTACTGGAAGTCCTAGCTGGAGCAATCAGGCAAGAGAAAGAAATAAAGGGCATCCAAATGGAAAGGAAGAAGTCAAATTATCCATGTTTGCAGATAATATGATCTCATATTTGGAAAAACCCAAAAGCTCCACCAAAAAAACTATTAGAAATTATAAACAAATTCAGAAAGTTGCAGGATGCAAACATATAAAAATCAGTAGCTTTTTTATGTGTCAATAGAAAACAATCTGAAAAAGAAATCAATACCACTTAAAATAGCTACAAATAAAACAGAATACTTAGGAATTAGCCGAAGTGAAAGATCTCTACAATGAAAACTATAAAATATTGATGCAAGAAACTGAAAAGGACACCAAAAAATAAAGATATTCCATGTTCACAGAAGAATCAATATTGTTAAAATGTCCATACTACCCAAAGCAATCTACAGATTCAATGTAATCCCTATCAAAATACCAATGACATTCTTCACAGAAATATAAAAAACAATTCTAAAATTTATTTGGAACCACAAAAGACCCAGAGTAGCGAAAGCTATCCTGAACAAAAAAAACAAGCTGGAGAAATCAAATTATCTGACTTCAAATTATACTAGAGCTATAGTAATCAAAACATCATGGTACTGGCATGAAAACAGATACACAGAACAGTGGATCAGAATACAGAACGCAGAAATAAATCCATACATCTACAGTGAACTCACTTTTGACAAAGGTGCCAAGAATATACATTGGGGAAAGGACAGTCTCTTCAATAAATGGTTCTGGGAAAACATATGGATATCCATATGCAGAAAAATAAAACTAGACCCCTATCTCTCACCATACACAAAAATCAAATCAAAATGGATTAAAGATTTAAATCTAAGACTTCAAACTTTGAAACTCCTACAAGAAAACACTGAAGAAACTCTCCAGGATATTGGAATGAACAAAAATTTCTTGAGTAATACACCACAGGCACAGGCAAGCAAAGCAAAAATGAAAAAATGAGAGCACATCAAGTCAAAAAGCTTCCGCACAGCAAAGGAAATGAAGAGACAACCCACAGAATGGGAGAAAATATTTGCAAACTACCTATCTGACAAGGGATTAATAGCCAGAATATATAAGAAGCTCAAACAGCTCTATAGAAAAAAAATCTAATACTCTGGTTAAAAATGAGCAAAAGATCTGAATAGACATTTCTCAAAAGATGATATACAAATGTTAAACAGGAAAAAGTGTTCAACAGCACTGATCATCAGAGAGCTGCAAATCATAACTACAATGAGATATCATTTCACACCAGTTAAAATGGCTCTTATTCAAAAGACAGGTTAATAACAAATGCTGGTGAGGATGTGGAGAAAAGGGAACCCTTATATACTGTTGGTGGGAATGTAAATTAGTACAACCACTATGGAGAACGGTTTGAAGGTTTGTTGAAAAACTAAAAATAGAGTTACCATATAATCCAGCAATCCCACTGCTAGGTTTATACCCAAAATAAAGGAAATCAGTATATCGAAGATATATCTGAACTCCCATGTTTATTGCAGTACTATTCACAATAGCCAAAATTTGGAAGCATCCATCAACAGACAAATAGATAAAGAAAATGTGGTACATACACACAATGGAATACTATTCAGCCACACAAAAGAATGAGATCCTGTCATTTGCAACGACTAGGATGGAACTGGAGGTTATTACGTAAAGTGAAATAAGACAGGTACAGAAAGACAAACATTGCATGTTTTCACTTATCTGTGGGACCTAAAAATTAAAATAACTGAACTCATGGAGCTAGAGAGTAGAATGATGGTCACTAGAGGTTGGGAAGCATAGTGAGGAGGTATGGGGGAGAAATGGGGATGGTTAATGGGTACAAAATATAGACAGAATGAATAAGAACTCCAATTTCCTAGCACAACAGGGTGACTATAGCACAAAAAAAACGTAATTGTACATTTTAAAGTAACTAAAAGCACATAATTGGATTGTTTGAAACACAAAGGGGAAATGCTTGAGATGCTTGATACCCCATTTACCCTGCTGAGATTATTACACCTTGCATGCCTGTATCAAAATATCTCATGTAACCTATAAATATATATAACTACTATGTAGCCACAAGAATTAAAAAGTGTAAAATGAAAAAAAAAACACCAATGAGTCCTTTTTCCAATTTAAACCTCTTAAAATATAAAAAGATTTATGTTAGGAATTTGAACTTTTATCATAAGGTATGTAATTTACTACATTAACTCTAGTAAATGGATGTATTATATTAAATATCTGTGTGAATTGTGAAAAAAAGAAAAAAAGAAACTCAACTCACTGATAGAGAAATACAAAATAAAGCAATGAGAAATCCCTTTATACCTGTCAGATTGGTAAAAATTAAAAAGACCTATAAAACCTAAAATGGTGGGATATGTGTAAGACGGTTCTCCTACATTGCTAGTGACAATGTGAAGTATTACAGAATTTTTGGAAAGCAATCTTGCAATCTATTAAAAATTAAATTACAGCCGGGCGTGGTGGCTCACACCTGTAATCCCAGCACTTTGGGAGGCTGAAGCGGGCAGATCACGAGGTCAGGAGATCGAGACCATCCTGAGCAAAATGATGAAACCTCATCTCTAACACACACACACACACAAAAATTAGCTGGCATGGTGACACACGCCTGTAGTCCCATCTACTTGGGAGGCTGAGGCAGGGGAATCACTTGAACCCGGGAGGCAGAGGTTGCTGTGAGCCAAGATTGTGCCACTGCACTCCAGCCTGGCAACAGAGCAAAACTCCATCTCAAAAAATTAATTAATTAATTAATTAATTACAGATACATTCCTATCTAACACCCCTTTCCTAGAAATCTATACAACTGAAATACAAGCCCCAGCATTTGAGGACATACATACAAGAAAGAAGAATTGGTGATTTTAAAGCCTACATAATATTCCCTATACCAGGGGAATTTAAATTTAAATTTTAAAGCCTACATGATATTCCCTACACCAGGTGATTTTAAAGCCTACATAATATTCCCTACACCAGCCTATACCAGGGAATATTAGGTAGCCTTTAAAAACAATGAACCAGAGCTAAACCATATCTTGGCAGGATTTAATGAAATATTGTTGAAAAAAAAATGCAAGATGCAGAAAGGTACACAGAAATAATTTTATTTTTGTAAAAACAATAACCACTGTACTGTAAATGAAGTTTACAGAGTCTGTTTTAACCACCATATGTATCACCTTTCACTCTCATTATGATTGTATATGCATAAAGAAAAATAGGGAAAGACACACTCTGGTTGTTAATATGGATTATGAAGTGAGGAGAGAAAGGGCAGAAGAAAGCAAAGGAAAAAGGAAGAGATGAGGAAAATGGAGGGGAAATTTTGCTCTGAAAAATAAACATGAAAGATATGATCAAGTTAATGCATTATATAAAAATAAAGATGGTTATATTTATTTTAAAAGTAATTAAAAATAAAGGCATACTCAATTTTCAGTGATGGGAAATTTTATTATCCTGGTGAAGAAACCTCACTGAGGGAAAAATTTTATTATTTCTATGCTATATATAGCAAGTAAATACCTCTATATACCTGCCAAGACTTCCTGAATACAGCTTTTGAAAATAACAATCTGTCTAACTTTTACATATCAAATAGATAGATAGGACTATTAATGTCTATTAACTGTTACATACCAAATACATAGCTAGGACCATTAATGTCTATAAATTAGAAAGGATACAAAGAAGGTATATGGAAGTCTTAAAAGGAGGTATCAAAAGTCCATATGCAAATGAATGGGCTTACAATCTGTTCCTTATTAAAATAATGACCAGCCTCTAGTACTGATTATGGGAGAAAGGGAGAAGAATTACAGTTTTATGGTGTTCCTGTTTGCCTGTTAGTTTAGCACATTCTGTATTAATATTAAGGTTTTGTTAACAAAATACCTGTAATTGATTATATTTGTGTACTGAAAATCTCAAATGACTCTTTAAAATACTCACTGATGACTACTTGTTCTACATTAACATCATTATCAAGTTATGTTGATAATATTCCTCACCATTTTAAAGAAAAGCAAACTTGGAGAGATTACTTGAACTTCTCAAAATAAAACACATATTTTACTGTTGTTCTGTAACCTGAATCTTGCTCAGCTGACTCCAGATACTCTTTGCACCACATGAAGTTGGCAGTATTGTTACAGATGATTGCATAATACAGTTAATGTGTGTTATATAAAAATGAGGGGAAAATTATTAATTTTGTATATAAATTGTCCTTTTCTTGTTTCAGTTACTCATTACCATATAAAAACCATCCCAAATTTAAAACATAAAGCAACCACCATTTCACTGTGGGTCTCACAGATTATGTGAGTCAGGAATTCGGAAAGGGTACAGCAGGTTGGCTTATCTCTGTTTCACAATGTCTGGGGCCTCAGGTGGGAACACTTGAAGGCTGAAAGTGACTCAAGAGCTGGGAGCTGAAATCACCTAGAAGTTCATTCATTCATATGACTGGTGGTTGATGTAGCTGTAAGCTGGGCTCTCAGCTGGGACTGTCAGTATTAATACCTACATATGGCCTCTCCATGGGCTCTTTGGACTTGCTCACATAATGGTGTCTAAGTTCCACAAACCATGTATCCAAGAAGAGAAGCTATATCATCATTTATGATATAGTCTTGGAAATCACATAGTGCCACTTCTGCTATAGTCACACTCCCACCCAGATTCAAGGAGAGAGAACAGAGACGCTACCTCTCAGTATAAAAACGCTACCTCTCAATATAAAAAGTTCAAAGTTATACTGTAAGAAAACCCAGTGGAATAGGAGTTATGGTTGTGTTCATTTTTGGAAAACACAATCCATGATACTTGTTAATTAAAGATAGTAACTAGCATGCTAAGTACACAGTATCAAGTAAGACATATTGCCTTAATACTAAATGAATAATACTTGATTAGAGAACAATTTTTAAAATCAATAATCCATAAAAAGCAATAAAAGACAAACCAGATTATCATATTATCAGCTGATGAAAACAAGTCAAATAAAATTCAGCAGTTATTCCTAATAAAAACTTTAAGAAATATAGGCCTAAAAGAAAACTATATAAATATGATAGTCTATTCACCACAGCCTACAGAAAATATACTAAACAATAAAACACTAAGTCATTTCAATTAATGTCAGGAAGCAAATAATAGAGTTCCATCACACAGGGATTTTGTCCTTTTTGTTCATTATTGAATCTCTAGCACCAATAAAGCACTTGACACACAAAAACGTGCTCAAGAAATTTTTGCAGAATAAATTGTTTTAAAAATATGAAAAAAGGGGGCAAAGGTAACAAAAAAAGCATGATAAAGAGAAATTAGACCAAAAATGAAGTAATTTATATGGACACTGAAAAGGAAATTAATGATTACATGATTATATATTTAGAAAATATACCAATGAAAGCATCCTGATTTAATAATAAGAATTTGGTAAGATGACTACAGTAAAGTTAAATTTAGAAAAATCAAGAACTTTTTTGTACTTGGAACCAGTAACCAAAAGAGGAAAAGGTGAAAATTTTTCCTCTTACAATAACAGCTAAAACTATAATAGGGGTACAGTAGTAATAAATGTAAACAAGGAAAACACAGAACCTATATGAAGAAAACAAAATCTTAACCTACATGAAGAAAACAAAACCTAATAATGTTATAACAGTTATTGTTATTTAGCCATGGAACACTGGAAAGACATAAATTGTAAAATTCATGTCAAAATTTATATGAATTCTCAAAATTCATATAAATCAAATGTAGTATTTTGTTCGTTTAATAAAATTATGTTAAAATTCATATGAAAGAAAAAATGCCTGAGAATACTCCCAAAAAGTATAAAATATAAGAAGGGTAAAGAGGGACAAACCTAATCAGACACATATAATAAAGCCTCTGCAATCAAATCAATAGGAAAAGTGGTTTGGGATTGAGCAAACAGACCATGGAAAGAGTAGCGAATACAAAAATAGATACCAGTATACAGGAGAGTTTTATATACAAAAATTCATTGGGAAAAAATAGCGTAATAAATGAGGCTGGTTATACATATGGAGAAAAGAATGGTTAATTTGATAGTGTTTGTTATCTATATGGAAAAAAAATACTGGAATGTGATATCAAACTATGTTCCAAAATTCCAGGTGGATTAAAGATTTAAATATAAAAAATTTTGGAACAATACACCCTAAATTTTTCCAAGCAAGAGAGTCAGTTAAGAACATTTGAGATGGATTTAAATATCATCTATATGTTGACAACAAATTATACATTCATACTTTTTATCTCCAGCCCAGGTTTCTCCCCTGAACTTCAGACTTCAATATTAACTACCTACTTGATAGTTTTGTTTGGAAATTTAATAGCAACAAGACTTATCATTTTACATTGTAAGTCACAATGTTTTATTTCCCTGCTCAAAACCCTCCAATGTCTATCATCCCCAGGAAAGAAAAAAAAAAATGCCCTTGCCATGGCCTAGAGGCCCCTAAATGATCTTGTCCCACTTGCTAACTCTCTGACCTCAACTCCTACTACTATTTCTTTGCTTATAATGGTCCATTCCCAATGGCCTTCTCAGTATTCTATGAATACACAAGTATGTTTCAACCTCAGGGCTTTTTCACTTGCTGTTCTCACTGCCTAGACTTGTCTTCTAACCAGACAACCACATGTTTTATTCTCTTTACTCCTTCAGATTTCTGCTCAAACATCATCTCATCAGAGAGGGCTTTCCTGACCATCCTACCTAAATGAGCAATTGCCCCCATCACCTTAACTTGTTTTATTTTCCTCTGTAGTACTTACGACCTATTATAAATTTATTTTCTGATGTGGTTTTGCTGTGTCCCCACCCAAATCTCGTCTTGTAGTTCCCACAATCCCCACATGTCATGGGAGGGTCCCGGTAGGAGGTAACTGAATCATGGGAGCAGTTACCCTCATGTTCTCCTGATAGTGAGTGAGTTCTCACAAAATCTGATGGTTTTATAAGGGGCTTTTTCCCCCTTTGCTCGGCACTTCTTTCTTCTGCCATCTTGTGAAGAAGGACGTGCTTGCTTCCCCTTCCACCATGATTATAATTCTTTATAGCAATGTGAGAACAGACTAATACACTTTCCATCTACTCTCACGAGAACACTCTGTAATGGCAGAGAATCTTTGTTCACCACTCTATCTCCAACACCTATAACAATGCATGACTCACAGTAGACACTCAATAAATAGTTATTTAGAAAGAATGAATTCCAAAAGCCAAAAAAGAAAAGATGACCATAATGTTCCACACCAAGCAAGCAGCTGATAAGGTCCATGTAGGTGTTTCCCATTTCCTTGATCCTGATTTTATTCTTCAATAAACCCATTGCTTAAACTAACTCTTTACAACTAAAACACAAATATGATTATAATCATTCCTTATATTTGTGTATTTATTGCAGCCCATAAAACATTTTTCTAAACAGTCACACATCACTTAACAATAGGGATGTGTTCTGAGAAATGTATCATTAGATGATTTTATCATTCTGTAAACATCATAAAGTATACTTACACAAACCTTGATGGCATAGCCTACTACAAACCTGAGCTATACAGTATAGCCTATTGCTCCTAGACTACAAATCTGTACATGTTGCTGTACTGAAAACTGTTAGCAATTGTAATATAATAGTATTTGTATAACTAAACATAGAAAAGGTAATGTGTTGCACTACTGTTAGGATGGCTATCACATCACCAGGCAATAGAATTTTTCAGCTCCATTATAATCTTATGGGACCACCATTGTATATGCGGTCCATCACTGATCAAAACGTTGTTATGCAGTGCATGACTGTATATTATCACATGTGATCTTCCCAATAACCCTAGGAGGTATATCTTGCAAGTATTATTATTCCTAATTCTTTTCAGATGTAGAAACTAAAATTCAGAAGTCACTGGGCATTAAACAGTCTGACATTTTTGACAGCTTCTTTAATGTCCATTCTACTACTTCAGGTGTTCTTAATCACTAGTTTGTATCAGAACTAGTTGTAGAGCCTAAAATCCACACACCCATGTTCCACTCCATAAATTGGGAGTCAGTCAATTTGAGTGAAAACCTAGAATGATCATTACCTACAAACATCACAGAGTATTTTCATACATAGTACCAATTAAAAACCACTTTATTAAACAATTCTACTATATGTCATCTCCTTGCTCAAAACTATTTGATGGCTTTCAATTTTGCTCAAAACAAAATCCAAAGTGCTCAGTTTGGCACTCAAAATCCTTTACACAATGGTTAGTTACCATGTTACCTTTCCAGTCATTATACACAGACAAAGCTGCATAGTGCTGCCTTCATTTCCTAGTTGTGCTTCCTTTTTCCTTGCTCCTATGCTTTTACTCATGTTGCTCCACCTGGAATAACATTCCTTCTTCTGCATAATATCCAAGTGTTACATTCCTCCAGCCTTCAAAGACCAGCTCAAAAGCCACCATATTCATGAAGTCTTTGCAGAATTTACCCTTCCCTACGTTAAAGTTACTAACATCTGTCTCCTCCACTACATTAAAAACTCTTGGAAACCAGGGATTATGTTGTGGTTATTTTTGTATCTTCTATGACAATAACAACTAACACTTGCCTTATATAATAAATATATGTAGAATTAAGGTTCTTAACATCATTGCTCTTTTTTAAAGAGCAGTGTAAAGAGCACGTAGCCACCCCCAGCGGGCTGGCAGGAGCTCCGATAAAAGCTATCATTTAGAGATGGTGTTGAGCCTGCAGTCCCACTATTTGGGGGGCTGAGGTGGGAGAATCATTTGAGTCCAGGAATTTGAGGCTGTACTGATCACGCCACTACACTTCAGCCTGGGTGACAGAGCAAGATCCCATTCATTAATTAAAATATATAGAAAAAGATGGTGTTGGGAGAGTAAGTTTAAACTGCCTAGCTACACGAGCCCACTCCTTCATTCATCCAACAAATTCTTACTGCCCAGAGCCTGTGCTCAGCACTAGAGATAAAAGATGACTAAGAACCTGCATGCAAGAGTTGCAACTGCTAAAGAAAGCCCCCTAAGGTTAAAGTCAGTTATAAGAAAAAGTGCTGAGAGCTGCTATCATGGAAAAAGGTTGCCAAGTGGTATTAGATAGACAGAAAAGCTACCAGAAAGGAAAACAAGAAAAAGCCTCATTTGGAACAGGCAGAAGGTCAAGCTGGAGTTCCCAGTGTGTTCTGTGTTTCTAACTCACACATTCCAACCTTGGAGGGAGAGAGGGACATCCCCACTGTCTACTTAACAGGGACAGATGATAGTGATCATGAGAATTTCAGTACAGTTTCCCTCTAGGAAATCTACAGAAACAAGGTGAGGCCTGCAGTTATTTATAGAAGCTGGATTACTCTCTTGGGTTTGTGGTGGAAAGCATAAACCTGGAAAAGATGACTGTCTTTCCTTCCCTTCCTTCCTTTCTCTCTCTCTCCTGTCGTCTCTCTCTCTCTCCCTCCTCTCCTCTCTCCTCTCAACTCTCCTCTTCTCCTCTTTCCTCCTCTCTCTCCTCTCCTCTCTTCTCTTCTCTCTCTCCCTCCTCTCTCTCCTCTTCTCCTCTCCCCCTCTCCTCTAGTTTAACGTATGAGATTTCTATATAACCCAGAAATTAACATTTTATTACAAACCCACCAAAATTCAATAGTTTGAACCTTCTGGTCAATCATCCTATCACATGTTTTCTCCTTAGAAGTGAAGTTTTTGTTTGACAGGGACACTTTTTAAATAGGATGGAGAACAACACTAAGATTATTACTCTGTAAAATAAACACTATTTTACTCTATAAAATAAACACAATTTTACGATTTTAAAGCCTTCCTTTGCTTAACAGATACAAAATGTAACCACATTCCCTGAGCCTAAAGGAGTCCTGATGGCAATAGAAGATGCTGTCAGTCCTTATAGCTCAAGTGGATAAGAACTATAGTGGAAGCTTCAAATAGAATCACTGGTGTAACAACAGTAGCCTTTCAGATAAGGATTTCAAGTGGATATGTATGGAGGACAGAAACAAAAAGAATGTCTCCCATAAACTGACAAGTGAAGAGCACTATTCCCAATACCAAAAACTGTTTATACCTGAAAACAAGCTTATATGAAATTTAAATAGAACTTGATGGCATGAAAAAATATTTTTAATTTGGATTCAGGCAGCTCTAGAAGGAGTTGATGGAGCTCTATTTCAATATTTCAACACTGACATGACTCAGTTATTTATCTGTGCTTTACTGGGTTTTGCTCTTATAAGCAACGGCCTATCTTGCTGTAACTTCTGTTTAAAAACAAACCAAAACTAGCCAGGCATGGTGGCTCATGCTTGTAATCCCAGCACTTTTGGGAGGCTGAGGCAGGTGGATCACTTGAGGGCAGGAGTTTGAAACCAGTTTAGCCAACATGGCAAAACCCCATCTCTACTAAAAATACAAAAATTAGCCAGGCATGGTGCCGCATACCTGTAATCCCAGCTACTCGGGAGGCTCAGGCAGGAGAATCGCTTGAACCTGGGAGGCAGAGGCTGCAGTGAGCCGAGATCACACCACTGCACTTCAGACTGGGTGACAGAGCAAGACTCTGTCTCAAAAACAAACAAACGAAAAAAAAAAACTAAACTAAAAGAAAGAATCTCAGAAAGGAGATTCAGCCAGGTGCAGTAGCTCACACCACTTTGGGAGGCCATGGCAAGAGGATCACTTGAGCCCAGGAGTTTGAGACCAGCCTGGGAAACATAGTGGGACACCATCTCTACAAAACAAAAACAAAAACAAAAAACAATAATAAAAAATCAGCCAGGGCCGGGCGTGGTGGCTCACATCTGTAATTCCAGCACTTTGGGAGGCCAAGGTGGGTGGATCACTAGCCTGGCCAACATGGTGAAACCTGGTCTCCACTAAAAATACAAAAAAATTAGCCAGGTGTGGTGGCAGGCACCTGTAATCCCAGCTACTTGGGAGGCTGAGGCAAGAGAATCGCTTGAACCCAGGAGGCGGAGGTTGTGGTGAATCGAGATCGTGCCATTGCACTCCAGCCTGTGCAACAAGAGTGAAACTTCATCTCAAAAAAAAAAAAATCAGCCAGGTGTGGTGGTGCACACATATATTCCCAGCTACTGAGAAGGCTGAGGCAGGAGGATCGCTTAAGCCCAGGAAGTCAAAGGTGCAGTGAGCCATGATGGCATTACTGCACTCCAGCCTGGGTGACAGAGTGAGACCCTGTCTCAAAAACAAGAAAAATAAAAAGAAATATCTAATTGACCAGCAAATGGCCACTTCTATGTAGGCAATGTCTTCATTGCATCTTCCGGTAGGCCACTGGCCTGGGTACAGTTAGAGTGAAAGAGCACTTGACCCAACAATCACCAATTAGCTATAAACAAGCTGGCAAAGTCACATGGCACTACACAGAGCCACCATATGCAAGGAACTGGCTAGAACTGCTTCCCTGGCAATGACTGTGGCCATAGCTAGTTTCACACAGATGGAGCAGCATCCTTTCTTTAGAAATCCAGGCACTAATATGCTTTGTTCTCAGCTCTGGGCCCTCAGCCCAAAATCACAGGGAATGGGAAAAGCTCTACTTCTCAACTTGCTACATTAGGCTACTTTGAAATTTACATTTTTTATTATTCATTTTAGTAGCTCGACTTAGGAGCCTTTTTTAAATGGTACTCTAGGTAAATTTTTGAATTATTTTTTATTTTTTTTGTATTTTTTCATTATTCATTTTTATATTTTTTATTATTCATTTTAGTAGTTCTACTTAGTAGCCTTTTTTAATGGAACACTTTAGGTAAAATTTTGAAGACAGTTGGACAACAGAAATCCTTATGTTCTTTTGATGTATACAGTAGTTTCTTTCAAAATTGTCCCCAGAGAAATTCCAATATACCCAAAAGGACTCACATTCTACTTCACAAAAAATAAAAAGTTCTCTATGCTATCCAAAAGGAAAAGAAAAAAACAAGATTTTTTTCTTTGTTTAAAATGTTTGAAGGTCTTCCAGCTACAAAAGTTAAGCGTTTGGACTAGTTCATTAGAATTTTGTGTTAACAACCTATCTCAGGCATGAACAAATAACATTTTCGCTACTGGCAAAAAGACAGGCAGAAAAATAAAGACAATTGTGTTTGGGTTGTGGTCTGGGTGGGTGAAGGTGAGGGAAAAATGAGAACACCGCACACTATGAAACTAGCCACCTGCTACAAAGCCCAGCAGTATCTATATTAAACTAAATATAATTTCATATTGGTGTCTCCAAATCTAATTCAGTACCACATGGTTCATTCTATCCTCTTGCTTTTCTGCAACCTTCTTCTCCAATAGTGAGAAACTTGGCTCCCATCAATCACCAAATGTATGGTAATACATTTACTTATTTGTCAGTTTCCAGTATACACGTACAGCAGTTTCAGAATTGCTAACCAATACCCCTGTGAGAAACAACTTTACCAGCTGCAGCATTTATGTACACTTTTGTCTTTAATCTTACAGTTTCTAGTTAAAACACTGTTTTCCAAAAATTATTCAGGTCAGCACCTTTTCCCCCATCCCTTTAGTGAAGTTATATCACATATCTGAAACAAGCTTGTTAGGTTCTTTTGTCACCATTGCATTCCCCTCCGGGATCCCTAACTCTTGGTTGATTGATTTTTTTACTTGCACATATTAAGCTCTTTATGCTATAAAGTTCTATCAGTTTTTTCAAATGCATAGTATATGTCCACCACTACAGTTTACTTTTAACTCTACAACTCCCCCATTCTTTCCCCCAAGTGAAAACTCCCCTTTCCTCAAATCCCTAGCAACCACTGATTGGTTTTCCAGTCTTAAATTTGGCCCTTTCTAGAATGCCATATGAATGGAATCATTCAATATGATGTAGCCTTTTCAGTCTGGCTTCAATAACTTGGGAAAATGCATTTAAGACGCATCCATGTTGTAGCATCAATTGCTTATCATTGAATAATAACCCATTGCATGGATGTACCACCGTTTATGCATTCACCTACTGAAGAACTTCTTGGTTGCTTCTAGTTTTTGATGATTATGAACAAAGCTGACAACTATGATTAAAGCACGTGTATGGATTTACATTTTCAAACCAATTTGGTAAATACCTAAAGGTGCTTTTGCTGGGTCATGTGGTAAGTCTGTGTTTAACTTTAATAAGACACTGCTAAACCATCTTCCAAAGTAGCAAGTATGAGATAACCAGCATTTAGTATTGTCAGGTTTTTTTTTTCTCTTAACCAATCTAACAGGTATGTCAGTAATATCTTGCTGTTTCAATTTCCTTAATGACAAATAATGTTGAGAATCTTTTTATAGATGGTTATTTGCCATCCATAAGTCTTTTTTGCCATCCATAAGTCTTTTTGAAGCAGTTGTTCAGATCATTTGTCCATTTTTTTACAAGTGGCTGTTTCCTTAATTTTTTTCTTATATTTTGGATATCCATTCTTTAAGAGATATGTGATTTGAAAATGTTTTCTCCCAGATATAACCTGTGTTTTCATTCTCTCAACAGAATCTTTTGTAGAGCAAAAGTCTTCAGTTTTGGTAAGTCCAATTAATCAATTTTTTCTTCCATGGATCATAAAAGGACTGTCTCCGAGAAGAGAGTGAGTTCTTACAACCAAGTGTGACAGAGAAGTCAGATAATTTTGAGAATATGATTAAAATAACTTATTCTTTTGTCAGTAAAAAAAAAAGCAATTCCAAATTCTGTGGGAGAGGGGAGATACAGAAGAAAGTCATCATCTAATTATCAATAAAATTAAAATGCTACATTTTTTTTAATTTTAGGGAGTGGAAGATAAGATACCCCATTTGACCTTGATACTAGAAACATTATTTTTAGGGTCACAACTTTGAACACAGAGACAAAGAAATGTAATCACAGTGTACTACTTGGTTCTGTATTGTATAATCATAACAAATTAATTAGTTAAATATCATGTATTGAACTTTTAGAATAAATTGAAAGCATGGAAGAGTTCACTATGATTACAGAATAATTATAACACTAATAGCAATCATTTATATAGTCCTTATTACGTATCGGGCCCTGTTTCAAATGTTTTACATAAATCTTCACAATAATCCTGTGAAATAAGAGTACATTATCCTCATTTTATAATTGAGAAAACTGAGGCACAGAGAAATTAAATAATTTGCCAAGGTGACACAGCTAGGATGTGGTAGTGCTTGGATTTAAACCCAGGCAACCTAATTCCAATGTCCACATTCTTAACCACAAAGTTATACTGCCTTCCTTAAATAGAATATAAATATTATAAACTTTGATAATTTTAAAGTAAATGGATATTTGACAGAAGTTAAAAGACAGAAGGGAGGTAAAAATTAAAGTAGAGGGTATGGGTAATAAACTCTCACTTTATAAAAAGGGCAATAAAGGATACAGTACTGCCAAAAGCTAATGGAACATGAAATAGAGGTTCAGGCATATTGGAGTCACAAAGCTAACCAACAGAGGAAATAACAACAATAATATATAACTATATAAAGTTTGAAGAAGGGCAATAGAGTAGCAGAAGAGTAAATCATCTTAAACATCAAGTCATCGACAGTTATCGCCTTAGTTGATAAATCAAGAAGTAGTAAGATAAGCATATTATTTAAAATTATAGAAACACCCACCACAAGACAAAAAGAAATAATCAAAATTGGCATGCAGCATTTCAAATAAACTAGTTGTAGCTGTCCACTTTCACACTGCTATAAAGAATTCCCTGAGAGTGGGTAATTTATAAAGGAAAGAGGTTTAATTGACTCACAGCTCCACTTGGCTTTGTTTCCTCGGGAAACTTACAATCATGATGGAAGGTGAAGGGGAACCAAGGACCCTCTTCACATGGTGGCAGGAGAGAGAAGTACATGTGTCAGCACAGAAAAAACTACCATTTATAAAACCATCAGATCTCATGAGAATTCACTCACTATCATGAGAACAGCATGGAGGAAAGCGACCCCATAATGCAATCACTTCCCACCAGGTCTCTCCCTAAACACCTGGGGACTACAATTCAAGATGAGATTTGGGTGGGGACACAAAGCCTAACCATATCACTAGTATAGTACAGCAGTTAAAAATATAAACTCTGGATCAAACCTTCTTGGGATCAAACCCCATTCCTCCACTTAACATTACAGTCTGTTAAAGAAAGTTACTCAACTTCTCTTTCCTCAATTTTCTTATCAGAAAATGGCTATAAATATGGAGATGGCTAATTCATATGAATGTTATGAAGATTAAAAGAGTTAATGCAAGCAGTGCATTAGAACTATGTCTAGTCCATAGTAGGTAAACCTTAAACAAATATTAGCTATCAGCTATGAACTACAGGAAATAGAGTGCATGCACACACACACACACACACACACACACACACACACACACACAGAGAAAATAGGTTTATGTTTAGTTCCTGACTTACTTAGCTAAGGATTCAAAATCTTATTAGCAGTGAAACTGCCACTCAGAACAAGAACAGATGTAGCATGGCTCAACACAGCTGTGACTGGCCTCCAGAGTCATGCACTCCCAGTGAGAGAACAAGGTGACATTTTGCCATATTTAACAAGTTCAATTATGAGGGTGACACTTCTCTTTGATGCTCAGGGCTTACATCACCATTTGGGGAAGAACAAACTCTAACAAGCTATGCCCTTTAATGGAAAATTACAAACATCTGGGTTCTTACTGGTTCTTGAGCCAAACCCAGTGCCAGTAAAGCCACAACTTTACCTAAGAAGAGAAAGCAGGATCAATGTCCAGATATTCCCAAACAGCCTCACTTCCTCCAGCTTGATAGTGTTTGGAAAGACTGATTCCCCACAGATTGCCTCTGTGAAGTAGAACTGGGGGTCTGATCACTGTGGAAGATGAAATATTCAAAATTATGGTACCAGCCATAGATCCCATTAGCTCATCAGGAAAAAAAGACATATACAAAAATATGATGAACTTTATAGACAAGATTAGGAGGGGTGAAATAAAGATGCAGAATTTTGCAAAATGAAACAGAACACTCTGTGGTAATAAGATAATGCTGCTTGGAGAAAACTGCATTTAAGTTAGGTAGAAAGCAGGTAAGAAAGCACTCTTTGTACGAAGAATAAATGAGCATAGGAAAGCAGCAATGCAAAAGGAGAGCTTAGGCAACGTAAGTGTTCCAGCTTGACTGAAGTAAGAGATTTACATGAAATTCCACTATGAAACGTCATGGAAAACCTGCAGCCTTTGAGGGTATGTACTAAGCCAAAAGATGAAGGTGTAAAGTATTTCAAAAAGTGTAATCTCTTTTCTTTCTACACTTTTTCTCTAGATGACTTAACCAGTCTCACAGTTTTAAATATTATCTCTGTGATGACAATTCTCAGACCTCCTTCTTGAACTTCAGTCTAATCTATTACACTCACATGAAGCCAGGCCATCTCATTCGACTTGGACATCAAGCAAGCATCACAAATTTAGCACATTCAAAGCTGAACTTCCTGAAAACCCCCTGCCAAATCTGCTCCTCTCAGGGCTACACCCATCTTAGTTAATGGCAACTCCATTCTTCCAGCTTCTCAGGCCAAGGATTTTCAAATAATCCTTGACTTTTCTTTTCCCTTCACACCCCACATCCAATCTATCAGAAATTCTGTTAGTTCGACTTTAAGTATATCCCAAACCAGATCTCCCTCTCACTGGATTTGTGCCAAAGCTCCTAGCTGGTCTCTCTGCTTCCTCTCTTACCTCAATATCATTGCCAGAATGATTCTCTTATCACCTAAGTCAGATGTCACTTGCATGTTCAAATTCCTACAAAGGCTGGCCAGCTCAGAGTAAAAACCACACCTCTAATTGTGATCTATGTGGCCCCATTCAATCTGTACTTTTCCACTCCACACCTCTTCCCCAACACACACCCTTGCCTCCTACTAGTCATCTTCCAGCTCACTCTGCTCCCCGTCGATATTCAAACATGACAGGCACACTCGCATCTGAGGTCCTTTACACCTGCTGTTCCCTTTGCCTGGAACCTTCTTCCTGCACATATGTATTGCCTTCCTCACTCAATTCCTTCAAGTTTTTACTCAAACGCTACCTTTATGGAAGGGCTTTCCTAGCCACTTTAATCCAAAATATCAATCTCTTTTTTTTAATATTTTGTCCCTCAGAAAGCCTTGTTCTAACAAAATGTCAATGTCTCACACTCCATACTCCCTGTCTTCCTCCTTAATTTTTTTTCTCCTTTGCAGTTATCACTGCCTAACAGGCTATGTACTTTGCTAATTTATCAGTCTTTTACTTCTCTAGAATATAAGCCACCCAAGATCATAAGTTTTTGTTTGCTGTTTACTATAACCTTAGCACCTAAAAGAGTCCTTAGCACATAATAGGCACTCAATATTTGTTTAATTAATGGAGAACCTGGCAATGCTATACAAAATACACTAGAGGGAGAAGAGATTATAACTAGAATATCATATTCTCAAATTCTCAAAAATATGTGTTTAGTAGCAACAATGCTCCAAGGTTTCTGGGGAATGAAAAGATAAAAAGACCATGTGAGAGAGAGACACAATTGACTGTAATCTAAATATTCACAATTTTCACAAAGAAAATGCTATAAGTACTTGAGGGAAAATTCCACTGGTGGGGAACTACTGCAGTAGCCTAGGCATCAGGTGATCAGGCCCTATATTGAACAAAATGAAAAAAAATGGAAAGGAAAGGACAGGTGTGATTATCACAATAGACAGAAACAGTTAGTAGAGATTGGCTATTACTTGAACAGGGAAAGAAATACCACAAATTTTCAAGCTTAGATAATGACATGAACATAGTGCCACTTTTAAAAGGGGAGGGTTTCCAAAATTAATGGAAAAATGACTAGTCCAACAATAAACATGCTTTGTTTGATGTGACAGCAGACCATATAAGTGGAAATTTCAGGTCACAGTTCTAGACTGAGAACTGTTACTCGCAGTTTTAAGAAATACAGAATTAGGAGAGTTTTCCCCCCTAAAGAGAGAGAATTGAAACTGAAAAAGGTGAGATTTCTAAAAAAAGACTAAAGAACACCATGGGAAATAGGTGAACTTACAGGTCAGGGGAACAAGGGGTGCAAATGAACATGACAGAGTTAAAGAGGAAAAAATAAAATGAGGACACCTCAAAATCCATATAAATATAAAAATTTATTCAGGATTTTAAAAATAACCAAACTACCACCCACTTTCATATTTAATAATTTTGCAAATATGTTCATTTAGGTACTCAAAATCTCAGAAGAAACCAAAGCAATACTTCAATCTTGATTTAAAATTGTCAGACTGGTGTAATTATTTTCCTGGTAACCTCTGAAACAAAAATCAGCTTGTGTACTTTTGCACATTTAATTGGATTGTAGTTTGGATGTAAGATAAAGAATGTGATGCAACAAGACTCTGTCACCCAGGAAACCACGTAATATCATGGAAAATTGTGCAGCCTTCTTTATAACTGTAATTCAACCCTGCTCAGCATCTGGCCCAGTTCCATATATATAAGGAGTACCTAATATATATTCATTTATAAAAGTAGCAAATAAGACAAGTAAGAAAATACCAAAATGGGTAGATTTCAAATAACTAATTCAGTGGAGAAATGGGAAATGGAGAGCTATTGTTTAATGGATACAATGTTTTGGTTTGAGAAGATGAAAAAGGGTGGCAGTAACTGCTGTATAATGAAGTGAATGTACTTAATGCCACTGAATTGTACACTTAAAATAGTTAAAATAGTAAATTTTATGTTATGCATAGTTTACCAAAATAAAAAAATATAACTAGTTTAGCTCACATTTTATGCTATAAGCTAAATGTTAATTCTCCAGGAACAATCATTATATCAATATTCTTTTTAATCCCAGGTCTCTGAATTCATGATTGTAATTCAATAATGAGGAAAAGCTTTGGTCCAAGATGAAATTGACAAAGGAAAATAGAAAACAAGATAAAAACAGGGTTTTTCTATTTAAAATAATGTTTTTTTTCTTGAGAGACGGATTTTCCCTTTTGTTGCCCAGGCTGGAGTGTAGTGCTGCAATCTCCGCTCACGGCAACCTCCACCTTCTGGGTTCAAGTGATTTTCTTGCTTCGGCCTGCTGCGTAGCTGGGACTACAGCCGCACAGCACCATGCCTGGCTAATTTTGTATTTTTAGTAGAGACGGGGTTTCACCATGTTGCCCAGGCTGGTCTCGAACTCCTGACCTCAGGTGATCCACCCACCTCAGCCTCCCAAAGTGCTGGGATTACAGGCAAGACCCACCATGCCTGGCCTAAAATAACTGTCATCAATTATTTTTCTTTACATTTTACTTACGTCACTTCATATTAAAGCTACATTTGGCAATTACATTAATAAGCCAACTATCTAATTTTTTAAAGGCTAAATTAAAAAGCAATGTTTCAAATACATAAAATTTAAAACATACTTAGTATTACTAGTCCCCTGGAAAATCAGCCATAAACACATGGTGAATGAAGGTTTTCATCATGCCATAGCTCAAGCAGTAACCAAATGAATAGGAAATGCTCATTTTATCTGGTGTCTGGTCAGCTTTTCATAAATTTGATTTTTAATTCTGCCAGAACTCTTTCCTCCCTGGTCACCACAAAACATATCATCACACCTCTCTCTACTCCATTTGTGGTCCAAAACCTTGTCATCCCTACCTGAAACAACCCAGTGCACTACAACCATCCAAATGCTATTTAACCTTCAAGTAAAGATCTCACCTCCAACATGAAATCATCTTCTACTAGGCCAAAACATACTGATCTCTTCATTGCTAAATTCTCATATCCCTTGTAGTCTAAATCAGTGCTTCTCAAGCAATCTATGGTAAGGTGCCATTTTTTAATTTGTCTATTCCATTGTGGACTGATACTTTTATAAAATGAAATTAAGATGATTACCAGAAATTTTTTTAAACATGCAAACTAGGCCAGGCACAGTGGCTCGCGCCTGTAATCCCAGCACTTTGGGAGGCTGACGCAGGCGGATCACGAGGTCATGAGATCGAGACCGTCCTGGCTAACACGGTGAAACCCCGTCTCTACTAAAAATACAAAAAATCAGCCGGGCCTGGTGGTGGGCGCCTGTAGTCCCAGCTACTCAGGAGGCTAAGGCGGAGAATGGCGTGAACCCAGGAGGCGGAGCTTGCAGTGAGCCGAGATCACGCCACTGCACTCCAGCCTGGGCGACAGAGCGAGACTCCGTCTCAAGAAAAAAAGAAAAAAAACATGCAAATTAGAAGCCACATTTTTTACTATAAATTTCAACTGATATAAAACTACTATGTCAAATGACTATAAACGTTTCTAAAGTTTATTCTCAATTTCTTTACTTATATTCCAGCAAAGCTGTAATAAACAGTTCATGGACTGACATCCGTCTACAGAACACACTTTGAGTAGAAGTAAACAATTCAGGGCTTCAATCAATAAATATTTATGATATACTCAGCATGAAATCTTCACCATGCTAGACACTGAAGGACAATGAAAAAGGTATAAAGCAAAGGCTTTTCCTTTAGGGAGTCTATACTTTGTAAGGAAGAACACAAAGAAGTGTAAAACAATAACAAATAATATGGATAAATAAGTTTTGTTGCTGATTAGAGGAAAAGCATCACTAAGTTTGGAGTAGTCAGGACAGAAGACTTGAAAAAAGTGAAATTTGAATTCAATATTTATGTTTCAATAGGACTCAGATACAGAAAAGATGGTTACTTTAGAGAGTAGAGACCACATGTACAAAAGCAAAAGAATGAACGTGGCATGTAGATAACACAATAAACTGAGTAGTTCTCAGTAGAGGGACAAGTACTGATAGGCAGGTATTGACCAATCAGAGTTTACACAGAAATATGAGCAAGGAAAAAAATTACTGAACATTTCTAAATAAGTACTATGATAGCCAGGTGTGGTGACTCATGCCTGCAATCCCAGCACTTTGGGAGGCAGAGGTAGGCAGATCACTTGAGGGCAGGAGTTTGAGACCAGTCTGACCAACATGGTAAAACCTCATCTCTACTAAAAATACAAAAATTAGCTGGGCATGGTGGCACATACTTGTAATCCCAGCTACTAGGGAGGCTGAACCAGGAGAATCACTTGAACCCGGGAGGCAGAGGTTGCACTGAGCCAAGATGACACCACTGCACTCTAGCCTGGGGAACAGAGCGAGACTCTATCTCAAAAAAAAAAAAGAAGAAGAAGAAGAACTGCGATAGAATCAGTGTTCTAGAAAGGTAAGCCAGCAGTGACATCAAAGTTGGAGTAAAGTAGAAATTCTTCAGGTTGAAAGGATTATATATTATACCTTTTTACATATCCTCCAGAACCCCCTATTTATTTATCCTCAGTCCATCATGGATAGAAAATGCATCTTGTTCAAGCAATACATGTTTTTTCAAAAATTAAAATTCTGTTAAGGGTACTAATTGAAGATATTCTAGATTTACTTCCTCTGACTCCCGAAACTTAAAATTTAAAAACAATGTATAGATACTTGACTCTGTATAATAAGAAGAGAACTCAGCTAGGAAAGAGATGACCATTGCCACTAAGAGATTCCAAATATTTCCTCAAAGGCAAAAAGTGGACAGGAGTGTATTGACAACTGAAGCAGAACATAACATACTAGTGACCCATGCTCCTTTGGGTGTCGCTCTGCCAAACGGAAACTTCTGTGGCTGGCGATGCCTCTGCTTGAGTTCGCTCACACCCACTGGACTATTCCACCCACTCGACCCAGCATGCTGCGCTTCGCTCTCACTATTGGCCCGGATCCCACGGCTACTAAGGGTGAGCCAAGCACTCAGTGACAAGGGATGCATGAGCAAGTCAGTGTGGAATCCGGCCACTGCGCACAGCCAGGCATACCAGCTGCTGCTGCGGAGCGGGCAGCACCAAGCACCAGCACAGGCACTGGCTCCATGTGAGGCTCTGGCTGGACCAGATGTACTGCAAGCAGCTTCTGCTGCAAAGACCAGTGTCTCGATGAGGGGAACAAGGTGGCGCCCAAAAGCCCGGAGATGCCAGGAACCACAGAGCATCCAAAGAGGGTGTTATAGCATGTCACAGCTCTGGCTTAGGAAGCCCCAAGGTCTGGGCTTCCAGAAGGGCTACAGCTCTTCTCTCCTTCTCATTGCCTGCAGTGCAGAGAGCAGGGGATGGCAGCAAGTTTCAGTGGGGAGTGTTTAAGCCCATTTGTGTTATAGCTCTTTCAGTCCCACCACCACAACTGCAGCCCGTGGCTGGCCCAGCCCCACTGCTGCTTCCCACTGCATGGGGCGGCCACCCGGCGCCAACAAAGGGTGGAAGTGCTACAGTGTTACAGCAGCTCTACCTCAGGAAATCCCAAGGTCTGGGTCCCCAGAAGGGTTACCACTCTTCACTCTCATAGTCCAGGAGCGTGTCACTGCCTGCAGCTTGGCAAGCGGGCCAGGAAAGCATTACAGCTCCTTTCACACCTACCATTCAGTGATATCCTAGTTCTTGTCCCATGTCCATGAAGAATGAGGTAACATGGACAACTGGAAGGTGAACAAGGCAGAGATTTATTGAGCAACAGAACAGCTCTCAGTAGAGAGAAGACGTGTAGTGGGTAGCTCCTTTCCACTGGCAGGTCATCCTGAAGAGTATCTGAGTCTGCATGAGTCTAGGGTTTTTATGGGCTCAGAAGGGAGGAAGTGCATGCTGATTGATCCATGGGTAGCCATGGGCAGGCATGGAAAAAGCACCGTAAGTTCTCACTCTGGGCCGCGGACTCCACCCGTAATTGGCAGCCTGGCCCCCAGGCTTCAGGCCATCCCTGGCTTCAAGACGGGGTTTCACCAAGGACCTGCCCCTTCCCACCTAGGAATCTGTCTGCCTCCTGTTGCCATCAACATGCCATTTGTGCCCAGGCTGTCCATGCTGAGGGGAGCCCACAGGCCCACACCAAGCTGCCCTCAGCACCCCCGGTCTCCCTCTTGAGTTCATCAGTGCCCAAAGTTTCAGAGTTTCAGCTCCCTCTGAGCTCATCAGTGCTCAAGGCGGCAGTGGGAGTTGGTGTGTCAGTGTTGCCCCAGGCATGCACACACCTGGCTGGGTCACGACAGTGCCTGGGCTAAGCTATAACTTTGCTCCACACCAGAGTGGAAACTGAGAGCAGGGAGAGGCCAGGGAGAGTGGGAGCAGGCACTTCCGAACTTGCGGGGGCAAGAGGCTCCCTGGGCCCCAGAGAGCACAGGGATGCCCAGGTCTGGAGCCATGGCTGGGTGGTTACAGCTGCACCTAGAAGTGCAGGCTCCTGCCCCACCAATTTGGTAGAGTGTGAGGCTTCCACTGGGATCACCTGTTCCCACCCCCTACGGGCTCCACAGAGGGCACAGCCCCAGGTGCACCCCCTCCTACTGCAGCGGCCTTCACCGCAGCAGCTGCTCCAGATGAGCCGCCACCATCACTAGGAGGAAGCTGCAATTGAGATAAAAGCTGTCCTGTGCACTGAAACCTTAGAGATTCTGGGTTCAGTGCACCTGAGGAACTATCTCTAAGGAACATTAAGGAAAGAGTGAGAAGGTTAGCTAGGAATAGAGATTAACTAAAGATCTGAATACAAGAAAACTATACTAAACAAATCCACCGTTTTCTTCCATCTCTGTCCACAGCAAATACAAGGACCCTAGTATTTACCTTCAGCCAAAAATAGTAATAAAAGGATAGGCCTCCTTTGTGGCAAAACTTCATCTCTCAGACCCTTTATGTCTAGGCAAGACCATGTGTCTAGTTTTAGCCAATGAATGTAGGAAGTAATCTGTCATTTCCTTGCTACGGCAATTAAGAAGTGCCTTCTCCATTCTCTCTTCCCCTTCCATTACAAGAGACAGAGAATCACAGGGCATTTTAAGGATGGTATAACTATAAAACAGAAGGAATTAGGGTCACTGAATCATCACATGAAGGAAAGCCGCCTGCTAAGAACACCTTCAGTGGACAGTTAAAGGAGTGAAAAAATACACGGCTATTTTGTTGACATTAAGATCTTCAGGTTTCCCTTTTATAGAAACTAGCATCTTTATTAATTAGAGCCCTTCTTATAAACGAAAGACAGGAAAAATTAACTTTACACAAATCGTAAGACCCAAATCCAACATCAATAATCATGGGAGAAAGTATGCTTTTTCCATAAAGGTGGGTAAAGGGGAAAAAAGTGAATATTTGCCTAATATTTATCTAACATACTATAATCTAGCCAATTATAGACAGAAGATTGTGACTGCTATGTAGCAAAAGCTGATTAATGTAAGAACAACCAAGAGGCTGGACACGGTGGCTCATGCCTATAAACCCAGCACTTTGGAAGGCTGAGGCAGGAAGATTACTTGAGGCCAGGAGTCCAAAACTAGCCTGACCAACATGGTGAAACCCATCTCCACTAAAAATACAAAAATTAGCCAGGTGTGGTGATGCACACCTGGAGTCCCAGCTACTCAGGAGGCTGAGGCAGGAGAATTGCTTGAACCAGAAGATGGAGGCTGCAGTGAGCCAAGATCACATCACTATACTCCAGCCTTGGCAATAGAGCAAGACTCCATCTCCAAAAAAAAAACCAAGAGAAAAACAAAATATTACGATTATCAAATATTGGTAGGAATATGGAAGAGGGAAAGAGAGTAATGTAATTGAAATACATCTTCATATTTTACAAAAAGGGAGTAAACAGATGATGTCTAAAGTTAATCAGTTAAAAAGCACAGGTAGCGGCTGGGCCTAGTGGCCCATACATGTAATCCTTGCACTATGAAAGGCTAAGGTGGGAGGATTGCTTAAGGCCAGGAGTTGAAGACCCCATCTCTACAAAAAATTTAAAAATTAACCAGGTGTGGTGGTGCCTGCCTATAATCCTAGCTACTTGGGAGGCTGAGGCAGGAGGATTGCTTGAGCTGGGAGGTTGAGGCTGCAGTGAGCCATGATCCTGTCAATGCACTCCAGCCAGGGCAACAGAGTGAGACCTGTTCTCAAAAAAAAGAAGAGAAAAAAGTGTAAGTAAAGGCATATAATTTGAAATTACCTAAAGAGGCATCCAAATAGGAAAAGATGTCAAACTATCTCTCTTTGCTATCAGTATAACTGTATATCTAAAAAACCGTAAAGACTCCACCAAAAGGCTCCTGGAACTGATAAATGACTTTGGTAAAGTTTCAGGATACAAAATCAATGTACAAAAATCAGTAGCATTTCTATACACCAATAATGTTGAAGCTGAGAACCAAATCAAGAACATGATCCCATTTACAATAGCCACACACACACACACAAACCTAGGGATATATATAACTAAGGAGGTGAAAGATCTCTACAAAAAGGACTACAAAACACTGCTGAAAAAAAATTATAAATGACACAAACAAATGGAAAAACATTCAATGCACAGGGACTGGAAAAATCAATATTGTTAAACTGGCCATATTGCCCAAAGCAATGTACAGATTCAACACTATTCTTAACAAACTACCAATGTCATTTTTCACAGAATTGGAAAAAACTATTCCAAAATTCATATGGAACCAAAAAAAGAGTCTGAATAGTGAAAGCAATCCTAAGCAAAAAGAACAGAGCCAGAGGCATCACATTACCTGATTTCAAACTGTACTATAAGGCTATAGTAACCAAAACAACATAGTAGTGATATAAAAACAGACAGCATAGACCAATGAACAGAATAGAGAACCCAGAAACAAAGCCACACTCCTACAGCCTTCTAATCCTTGACAAAGTTGACAAAAATAAGCAATGGAGAAACGGCTCCTTATTCAATAAATGGTGCTGGGGTAGCTAGCTAGCCATATGCAAAAGAATTAAACTGGACCCCTACCTTTCACCATATAAAAAGATTAACTCAAGATGGATGAAAGATTTCAATGTAAGACCTCAAACTACAAGAATCCTAGAAGAAAACCTAGGAAACACCATTCTGGACATCAGCCTTGGGAAATAATTTATGCCTAAATTATCAAAAGCAATTGCAACAAAAACAAAATTTGACGAGTGGGACCTAGTTAAACTAAAGACCTTCTGCCCAGCAAAAGAAACTATCAACAGAGTAAATAGACAACCTACAAAATGGGAGAAAATATTTGCAAACTACACCACAAACAAAGGTCTAATATCCAGAATCTAAAAGAGCTTAAACCACTGAACAAGCGAAAAACAAATAACCCCATTAAACAATGGGCAAGACATGAATAGACACTTTCCTAAATAAGACACATAAGCAGCCAACAAACATATGAAAAAAATATTCCACATCACTAACCGTCAGAGAAATTCAAATCTGAACCACGAGATACCATCTGACACCAGTCAGAATGGCTGTTATTTAAAAAGTCAAAAAATAACAGATGTTGGCAAGGCTGCAGAGAAAAGGGAACACTTATACACTCTGGTGGAAATGTAAATTAGTTCAGCCACTGTGGAAAGCAGTTTGGAGATTTCCCAAAGAACTTAGAAGTACTATTCGATCCAGCAACCCCGCTGCTGGATATATATCCAAAAGAAAACAAATCATCCTACCAAAAAGACATACATGCTCGCATGTTCACCACAATACTATTCATAATAGCAAAGACATGGAATCAACCTAGATGACCATCATATGAACTGGATAAAGAAAATGTGGTACATATATACCATGGTATACTATACAGCCATTAAAAATAAGAAAAATCATGTCCTTTGCAGCAACATGGATGCAGCTGAAGGCCATTATCCTAAGTGAATTAATGCAGGAACAGAAAACCAAATACCGATGTTCTCACGTGTGAGAGCTGAACACTGGGTACTCATGGATATAAACATGGCAACAACAGACACTGGGGACTACTGGTGGGGAGGGGGAGGGAAGAGAGCAAGGTATGGGGGAAAAAAAGAAAAATGAATTAAATGAAATAAAATTACCTAATGAATCTAACATCAAAATTGTTAAAAATGTTTCTGGGAGTAGGCCTGACAATGGGAGGCAAGAGATGAAAATCTGTTGCTTTTCATCAACAGTACTTTTGTACTACATTTTTTTGTTACCATGGTCATGTATTACTCTTAAGAAAAAAAATGTAATGAATTTCTACTAGAAATTTCTTGCTAAAGGGTTAGATTTTAGAGATATGAGAATCTTCCTACATAAACTGAATACTATGGAAGAAATTCCATAACCTTCAAGTGAATGAAAAATTTGTTTTATTTTCCTTGTGGTATGAAAGTATGACTCCCCTTTTAATATTCAATATAAATGAAGAACTGATTCACATTCCCAGATAATTCAGTTACGAGTTGATTCATCTATAGATGTCAAAATTTACTTAATACGTTGTAGCTATATTATAAAAATTCCTAATTTGAAATAATTTATAAAACTTATTTAAGTGATCTGTTGCTATTCATAAAATAAGGAATTAGCATGAATACAATTCACTAAAGAATGTATCTGCACAGTGCAACAAATGTAGAAAACAAACACTAATATATAGTCACATTAGACAATAATTACCTAAACAGGTCACCAATTCTTTCCAACTATGGCAGACATCACAAATCAAATGATACTCCTTCCAGTAGAATGAGGACAACCTCAAAATCTTTCTTAACATAGTACTTCTCAGCCTGCAAAACTAATTAAAATTGGCACATCAAGTGAAACCCCTTTGGCCTAGAGCAAGACAACATTCCAATTAATGCTACTATATGAAAATATTCACTTCATTTCTCCTTTTCAGCACCTAATGGGCTAAAAAGATTTTCCAAAGGATTAAATATTAAATTCTGCAATGAGAATATTGCAGTAATTAGCCATGAATAATATATTTCTTCATGACAAAGTCTTAAGATTACTCAGCCAGTATGACCTGGAAAAGCTTGATGAAGATTCCAAGAAACTGTGGTACTCAGAGATGAAGAGAGTAACCTTAGCTCCTGCTTTTAGTTTTCCATTCCGGTCCCTACACATCAAAGGATACCTGTGGATGTCCTCAAAACTCCAGGAAGAGGAGGAAGAGGGCCAGAGGGAAGGAGAAAAGAAAATCCTCTCAGTGCTTAAGCTAGTTAGGTTAAACAACCAAAGGAACCCAATTAAAATGACTACTTTGGAGACTGTGCCTCTTAAGTAACAGTCCCGTGAGCCCCGTTGGGGGATCCTGCCTATAATCTAAGCTGCACAACTCCAACGAGGATCATTAGTCAATTACTGATTTTAACTAGAAGTCAAGGAATTTTATTGGTTGAACCAGCTGTGTTAAACATAACACTTAGTTTTTAATATGTACTTAAGCAATAAAGGGTACCTCTGAAAACACCCATCCTCTTAAATAAAAGGGAAGAAATCAGTAATGCAATAAAACAGGCATTCAAGTTAAACCTTTTGAATTCATTTTTTAACTAAATGGGATAGATAGGGAAAAAAATAGCTCTGGAAGTGGACTTAAAATGCGGGGATTAGCTAGTAGGCCTAGCTACAGAGACAAAATATGGCCTTGGCCCACAGTTTTGAGAACTTTGGTAAAGAATTTGAAATCTGGTGCCCTGAAGACTAAATCTGGTTTTGTTATGCCCACAGAATATTTTTAATGTAAATAAATTGGCAATCTGAAGGTTTAACCTTTTTAAAAATGAGGATTTTAGTTACTTTTGAAAAACTAGGAAATCTGGAAACACAGAGCCCACTTTCCCACTTGCGAAAAGCATCCTCCTGTAAGACAAAATCTTTCCATCTCCCTATATTGCACAGTACCCAATTCTTCTCTCACTACACGTATCTGATTCCTTTGATATATGAACTATCAATCCCTGCTTTATGGAGAGAGGTCTTGCACAATCAACTCATGAGTGGCTTGGTTAGAAAAAGTTGTGATATCAGCGACATGCTACACCTAGACTGACAAACCAATGACGCGGTCCTCTGTCATGTAGCTCACCAACGCAGACTTCCTCCTCTAAAGATGAATTCCCTTCAATCCCTCATTTCTTTTTACTGTAATATGATTCCACTAGGAAACACTTCAATCCACCAGACAAGGGTGACGGGAATGAGGTACCCAGATCTACTGTCGCAGGAGGTTCCTGTGCCTCTAGGTAAATTTATGGGTGCATGCTAAGAGATAATTGGAAGGGTATTATGTCACCTCTACCTGTCAACAATGTCTGAAACCCAGACATCACTCAGAAAACTGTATTTTTTCAAGAAATATTAGAATTTAGGCAATTTTCATGTTTACTGGTAGCCTTGAACATCGTTTCATGATGCAGCTAAAATAAAATCTGTCATGGTTACTTTTTTCTATTATAAAATTGCAAGTGATTCAGTATAATAAAAGTTATATTTAACCCAAAGAAAGTTGCCAAACTTAAGCAAAAATGGAAAGAAAGCTATAGTAAGATATATTTAATACCCCAATTACCTAACTAGGAAAAACACTAAACTTAGCATGTTAGAAAAGGAGAAATATAAAAATATTAAGTGCTTAATTTATCTCTAAAAGAATTAACCATGAGTATAACAAGAAAAACAGAACAGACCATTGACTATCAACAGGCAGGCATATCAATCCACCAGAGCAGATACCTACCTTAATATTATAGTCCTATCCACCATTCGTTGCCTGGGTTTCAAATCCAAATAAGCATGGTGGTTGCTATAGTGACAATATGCCACTTTTGGAACCTGGAGCTTAGTACTACTAGGTACTTATGAGCTTCATAACGTCAGTACTTCCTCCCACACTCTGAATCATAGCTCAGATTTTATAACTTCACAAAATGTAATTCCATTCTGTCCTATATGAGTCAATTTTATTTTAGCAGTATAGAATATATGTCAAAAGAATCTAACTCACTTAACATGCTAAATATACATACTCAATATACATTTAATTAATAGTAAATATATTGGCCTGATAAGATAAATTTTGTGCAACCATTGGAATTCACTGATTTATTATTGAAACTGGGCAAGATTCACAGCTAATTCTTTAGCTTACAGTTGTTAAAATAGGATTCCTACCACACTTCATTTAAGAAGAAAGTTTGAAATTCTAAAATAATGAATTTCATTTATGGCAGACTGACATATTTTCATTTTACTCAGGAACCATTCCTAATAATTAAAGACTAATTATTAATGATCTCCAAGATGGTAGCTTGTTGCTAGCAAAATGCTAAGAAAAAAATATCAATCTCAAATTACAGTGCATTTCTAGAATATTAAAAAAAAAAAAGTCAGAGAACTGGAAACCCTCATACATGGCTGGTGGGAATGAAAAATGATGCAGCCACTTTGGAAAAAGTTTCCGTTTCTCAAAAAGTTATACATAGAACTACCCTACGACCCATCACTTTCATTCCTAGGTATCTACCCAAGACAAATTAAAACATACGTCCACATAAAGACTTGCACATGAATGTTCACAGCATTATTCATAACTCGAAACGACCTAAATGTCTGTAAACTGGTAAATGGGTAGTGTTTCATCCTGCCGAACCCACGACTGGGGTCGCCCTCTAAGAGTTCATTAAAATTAATAAGGTATAATTACCTAAAACTCTTGTAAACAGGGGCTCGAATAAGTAACCTATCACAATTGATAAACCACACCATGTTGTTGGCAACCTGATATGTGCAAGGCATTAAACGGAGAGCTTTGCCCTCAAAGGGTTAAGAACATCTAGAATGGGGGTCTCCTCTTTCGTCTTGGGAGCCCCCTCCGTCTGTCTCTGTAGTGGGGAGCTTCTTCCTTCAGCCTTCTTCCTTCTTTCTTGCCTATTAAATTCTCCGCTCCTTAAAACCAAAAAAAAAAAAAAAAGTCCAAAAAGTCTTGGTGTTTACCACAAAAGAACGATGCTATTCCAACATCACAGCCTCCCTAAAGCAACTCTCAATTATTACATAAAGAGGCAGCCTCCCTAAAGCAACCCTCGATTATTACATAAAGTCACTTAATCTTTTCTGACTTCACCACTCTTTGCAACCAGAGTTTACTTTGCAGTAGGCTGTGGTGAAGTTAGGGACATGGTTTGGAAAATCTAAGTTAGGGATACCAGGCAAAAAAAGAAGAAGAAGAAAGAAAAAAAATCAAAGCTCTGTCATTACTGTGAACTTTTCAACGAGAGCCTTAAATCTCAGCACAGGGAAAAGAGACCCTTCCTCAAGCCCTGGAGAAGAGGCTGGTCACAACCTGCGGATCTCAGATCCCTTTGCCAATTTTTTTCTCTCCCTCTGAATCCAAAGGGTGACGCTGTCCTCACTGCTTCCCCACACACCAGCGAGTGCGCGGAAGTCCACCTGCGTGGTTGGACCGAGGGGGCAGGTCCATTCGCGGCCTCCGCCACGCCCCACACCGCCCCTCCCGGCACAGCCCGCCGGGGTTAGCCCGCCCGTCCGCCAGCTCCCTCTCAGCGGCGCAATCTCAGGAATTCTTAACCCTACTCTGGGCAGGTGGGATGGCTGAGAAAGACCCTGCATGCCGCCACTTTGGCTCAGGGTCCTCAGCCCAAACTGAGAAACGTTTTACAAAGAAGCGTGACGACCTTTCGCACTAAACCAGAGTACCGCCACCTCCATCGACCGAGCGCCAAAATTAACCGACTTACAGATGTGACTGGGCGCAGCGGCCACCGTAAGGCGTAAGGGGTGCCAAGTGCCGGTTCCAGTCCCGCCCAGCCCCGCCCCGCCCCGCCCCGCCCAGCCCCGCCCCGCCCCGCGGCCTGCGTGCGTCAGAGATCACGTGCCGCGCCTCCCGTCCCTACAGGCAATCGGGCGCTCCCCTCTTCCGGAAGTCGCGCCGGTGCGCGCCGGACTCCTCCCACCAGCGGCGACGTCAAACTCAGCTCCTACCACTTCTCTGTCTCTGCCGACCGGCGCAGGGAGGGCTGCCTTTTCCTTACAGTACGCCTTGAGGCTTCCGGGCCGCTGAAGTTTACGAGCGAGGGCAGTGCAGTTACTCAGTGTGCCGGCCTCGGACGCACGTGAGTAGAGTTTGAGAAGACAGAGGCTGGCTCCCGGCAGGCCACGCCCGCAGAGGCCTTTCCCCCTCTCCACAACTTGTGTTCTACTTGGTTCCGCCGAGACCCACGACGGTTCCGCCCCCTTCTTCCTAGTCATTGATGTTGTTGTTCTTGTCAGTGCCGCAGCCCCGACCGCCGGGAGCTCGAACCCGAGCCGGGGCCGCCCGGGTGGCGCGGTGGCGGCGGCTGCGGCTGCAGCAGCTGCGACGGCTGCGGGGGCTGCTCCGGGTACTGCGGGGGCGGCCGGGAGCCGGCAGCCGGCGGCGGGGCCGGATGGCTCTGTGCGGGCAGGCGGCGGGCGCTGCGTCGCTGCCCAGCGAGCTGATCGTGCACATCTTCTCTTTTCTGCCGGCGCCCGACCGGCTGCGGGCCTCGGCCTCCTGCTCGCACTGGCGTGAGTGCCTCTTCTATCCGGCCCTGTGGCCCCAGCTCCGCATCTGCCTCCGCGTCTCGCCCGCGGAGCAGCCTCGGCTGGAATTCCTCATGCGCAAGTGCGGCTGGTTCGTGCGAGAGCTGCGTGTTGAATTCGCCGCCGAGAACTATCTGAGCGGCGGTGGCCCAGGGGACGGAGGTGGCGCGGACACCGGGACTGGAGGGGAGGAAGTCGAGGCCCTGCAGCTCTCAGCTCGTTGGCTGGAAGTGCTGCGCACCTACTTGGAGCTGGTGCTTTGCGTGCTGGTCAGCATCCGGAACAACAGGTAGGCTTGCCCTGAGCCCCGCCCCGCCCGGTAACGGGGGGTCGCTCCGTCCCCGCACCCCGACACAGATTCTGTGCATAATACGTGCCCGGCCAACTTCAGTGTTGCCTTCCTCAGTGACGGAGAGTGTTGGTTCTAACTAGGCGGTTTCCTTGAGCGGAAAGGCATAACGGGACTCATCACGATACTTTATAAACAGTGGTGGACGGGGTGTTTAACAGACACCACTTCTGGCGCCTTCCAGGCACTCATTCATCCTCTTGGTGGCCGTGGGATGGAGCTGACAGGCGCTGTCACTTTTCATTTTATATATGGGAGCGTTAAGACTGGGAGGGTGAGGCCTGTGGGTGAGCCTTGGAAGAAACAAAACATACACATAACACGATTTTCTGACTCTGAATCTGTTAGAAATAGTTCATGGTGAGGGAAGGAGTAGGTACTCATAGGACGCTGCCTAAAAGAAATTTTGTAACAGCCATTTTCTTACCAGAAATAGTTTCGGCTAACTGAACAAGGCCCGAAGAGGAGGAGGAGTGTTTGTTAAAGGGATTGGGGAAGAAGTTGATCTTCAGGGTTGAAAGTCCCTCCCCATACACCACCACACTCAACTTCTCCCCAGTAGTTCACCTAAAAGTAACAGTCGGGCGGAGGAGGCGGGCGGGCAGCGAGGGAGTTGGCCAGGGTCTGCAGAGGGTAAGCACATAACTGTTCTGGTTTTGCATCAGGACTTCACTGTAATTCCAGAACTAACGCCTTATATTCTGACCCAGTATCCCTCCCAATCATCATTTTTCTCCATCGCCACCTCCAAAACCCTATTAATTTAGATCTTCTTTATATGGATATTCTAAAGAACCTTACAGTAAAGCTCTTATTAGAAGAAAGTTTAGACGTTCACAAAAGGAGCACCTTACATAGTAAAAATACTTCAGCAGTTTCACATTCACTGTGTTGTTTGAGCCTCTCAGTGGCACTATGAGGCAGGGTAATGATAAATAACCCTGTTTTACAGAAAGGAAACTGACCCTTTATAGGATCAAGTGATTTGCACATTGCTGTACGGCATTGTTTTTCTCCGAAAGCGTGTCCTTTTGCAGTAAATATACTGAACATTATGTTGAACAAGGTTGAGAGCAGTCCCTGGTTTAATGCTAGGAGATATATATAGATATAAGGTTATATATATATATGTATGCGCCATTAATCTGTGTCTTAATTTAGAAGTCAAGAGATAAGTTATAGCTCCAAGTTGTATCTGGGATATGGCTCCATTATTCCAGTTGCCTGTGCGTTTCCACAGCTTTTCGCAAGACATTCTATTTCCTTACTTTGGTTTTATCTGGCAGGAGAGGCCATTGAAGCTAAAAACAGATTAGGTTAGAGACTTTCTCAGAGTTGAATGTATGGCTAGAGGACCAACTGACCCAAAAGTTGCAAAGTTTCAGTCAGTGAGCACTTACTAATGAGACCAAGGTTGAGGGTGAATTCAATGAGTGAGTACCAATTAGATTTTTCTGTACTGAGATCAAATTGCACTTTTATGCAACCATGCAAACACTGTATGTGCCTTTGACCCAAGTAAGAACAAGACTTGATAAGTGTCTAGTTCCTTTTAAGTATTTTAATAACTGGTTGGTTGGATGGGTGGATAACATACAGGCAAAATGGAGATATTTCACATCTTTGCTTTGTAGCTTAATTCTCCTGTCCTTCTCTTCCTTACCCCTACAATTTTTATTAGCATCCCAATCTGCTTCTCTATAAGGCCACCGATGCCTGCCCTTCTGGGTCAGCTATCACTTCTATGCAAAAACATCACACCCGTCATCCCTAATTTTAAGGTTTGCTTGTCATCTACTATTAGCATGGTGTTGTATGTCATGCTGCTTTGGTAGCATATTCATTCTGTTTGTCTCAAAATGTAGTGTAATTGCATGTTGTTTGTACTAATGATACATCAAAGGGTTTTTGGAAATAAGTTAATCTCATCTTTACTGTTGAAAGTGTTTTGAGATACTCTGTGATATTGGAAAAGTTAATATGAATATTAAATCCATAAATAAGACTAGTTTCCTTTAAATTTTAACAAATCTGAAAATGTTTTAAACCACATTGTTTATCAGTGACTAGTAAAGCCTATTATTTCTTTCTATAATCACTTAAACTATAGACTTGGGACATTTGACATTGCTCTTTACATTTCCAAGTTAAATTTACAATGGTTTTGCTTTATGATTTCTGCCATTCTATAAGTAGAAAAGAGGGGGTGTGAATCATACCAGATCATAAGCATTCTGCTTCCAGGCTTTGTGCTGAATTCCTTTATACAGTTCATACAATTCAGACTGTTATTTTGTTTTGTTCCAGTTATTTTCATGTCCCTCAGGAAAATAATTAAAAGTATAAACTTGAATTGTGTGAACTTTTCAAGGGTGCTGATCTTCAGAGAGGACAATTGGCATTTTGTTTTGCTTGGTTCCTGGGTTATATATATACATGTATTCTCATAGTGATTATAGTTGCCATACCTGTATCTTAGGTTTTAGGAACAACTAATAAGGATAAAGAAGGTGCATAAGTGCCTCTCTGAGGGTAACACACAGTCCTTCACGTTTCAGAAATTCCTTCTCTACAGGGCACTAGGATACCTGTCTTCTTCATTAATAGTAAGAACAGAGGGGCAGTAAGTACTCATTCAACTGTATTTTAGGTCACATAGGCTGAATTTCTCTGCAGTCGTTCTATAAGAAATTGTACCTAGAAGTGCAAACAACAAATAGATATAAATGCATTTTTAGCATTTAATCCAGTTGTCAGGTTGGGTACTGCCTATTAAAATGCTGTATTTCAGACTCCTTAGGAAAAACGAGAGCTCATGGTAAGATTTATGATAATAGGTAATAGACTCAGTCACTAAAAATACCTGAAGAGTAGCCATAGGCACATTGTCTTCATCTGGTTTATGCTTCTATGGGCTGTATAAATGTTTTACATAAGCTTTTCTTGGGTGGAATGCTGTTAGGGGCAGTACTTTTTTGTTGTTGTTGAGAATTCATATCGTTGGCCAGGGGTGGTGGCTCACACCTGTAATGACAGCACTTTCTGGGAGGCCGAGACGGGTGGATCACTTGAGGTCAGGAGTTCGAGACCAGCCTGGTCAATATGGCAAAACCCCATCTCTTTTAAAATACATAGCCGGGTGTGGCAGTGCATGCCTGTAATCCCAGCTACTCAGGAGGCTGAGGCAGTAGAATCGCTTGAAGTCAGGAGGCAGAGGTTGCAGTGAATAGAGATCGTGCTACTGCACTCCATCCTGGGTGACAGAGCCAGACTCCGTCTCAAAAAAAAATTTAAAAAAAAAGAATGCATATTGTAACAGACCAGAGAAATTTTGTACAAGATTGATTTTCTTTTTAAGATTCTGGGTACAGCTCTAACTGCTTGTATGTAGATTGACCATTTCATGACTGTGTCTGCTTATATATCCTGTAAGTTAAAAAGGATCTATTAATAATACTTAGATTTGGGTCTTGTTGATTTGGCATGCACAGTGAAGGAGAATCTTACCTTTGTATTGTTTCCTACCAAGAAACAATAATAAAGACATTTAAAAATATTTTGAGACAGAGTCTTGCTCTGTGACTCAGGATGGAGCAATCATGATCATAGCTCACTGCAGCCTCAAATTCCTGGGCTCAAATGATCCTCCCACCCCAGCCTCCCTAGTAGCTAGGACTACAGGCATGCACCACCATGCCTGGCTGATATATATATTTTTTTAATTTTGTGTAAAGACAGGATCTCACTGTGTTGCCCAGGCTGGTCTCTAATACCTGGCCTCATATGATTCTCCCATTTCTGCCTCCTAAGGTGCTGGGATTACAGGTGTGATCCCCTGCACCCTGCCTAAAAATGCATTTTAAAATGGGTTAAAAATTCCCTGGACATTTCAGATTACTACCTAAGATGGTAGAAAATGCCTTGAAGGTATTATCTCCAACAGTTTTTAGCCTTATTTTTCTTGAAATATTTCTCCTGTGGTAGTATAATAAATATGTCTAACAATGTTTCATCTCTGAGAGTTTACTTTGTTATTATTTACTTTAAAAAGCCCATTTACAGAATAAATATATTAAAATATACTGGGCCTGTGACCAATCTGCCCTGTTCAAGAATTAGTTTCCTGTGACACTGCATTCCCAGCAGGCTCCTTACCTAAAAACTGAAAAAGAGGCTCCTTAGGGATAGCCTCAAAGTTACTGAGAAGGAAAGCTAAAGAAACTAACCTCCTGGAAGGCTGTTATGAGAGGTTTTAGGACTTTTTATTCCACAGCTGTATTGGCAACTGATAGATGGAATAGGGTGTAAAACTCAAGGAAAAAAAAGTTAAAATTTTTTGACTGTGTTAAATGAGGGTGTTAAGCAGCTTTTGAGTGGAGTGATTAAATATCTCCATTTTAATTTGTTAGTTCTGAGGCAGCCTTGGGAGAGTTCACCAAACTTGACCAATTTATTTAGGAGCTAAAATGATAGTTATAGAAAATCTAGGGTTTTTTCCTCCAATTATTGAGAGCGTACTATGTGCCAGGCGGGGAAGACATGCTTCCCGTTCTCACGGAGTCATTCTAGAGGAGGAAGGAAGACAGAAACAAGTAGACAAAGGAAAGAAGGATTATTTCAGGTTGTGAAAATAAAATCTGAAAATAAAACAGAAGGATGTAATAGTCACTAGGTGGCAACATTAGGTAAAGTGTCAGGGAAACCTCTTTTGAGAAGGATATTTGAGCTGCAGCATGAATAACAAGCGTTGCCCATCTGAAGATCTGAGCAAATAGCATTCCACACACAAGAAACAGTAAGCGCTAAGGTCTTGAGCCAGACAAATTTTTGGTCTGTTCGAGCAGTGGAAAAGAAAGTGTGACAGGGCTGTGGCAAGTGAGGATGAAAATGATGCCATGATGAGTTCTGAGAAGTAGAAGAAGGAAGAATTGGGGTTAGGTAGGCTTATTTAATGAAGTTTGGAATATATTCCAAGGATAGAAGAAGTCACTGAAAAAAATTTTAAGGACAAGAATAATGTGATATCATTTGCATTTTAAGACAATCACCCTGGCCATTTTATGAGCGACTTAGGGACCAAGAGAGAAAGTAGGGGGACAAGTTGGGAAGCTTTTACTGTACTCTAAGCAAGAGATGATGGTAGCTTGAACTATGATGGAGGCAGGAGAGATGAAAAAAAGTGGATGGATTTTGGAAGTATAGCCCAGAGTACTCACCAGTTAGATGTGGGTAGTAAGACAAAAGGAAAAAACAATATTTTTTCATCATTTCTTTCTCACTCGATTTTCTTGTCCTTATTATTGTTAAAATTATCTTTTAATAGCATGTTAAAAAAATAAATATGAAAAAATAAAATAAAAAATAAATAAATAAATAATTTTTAAAAATAGCATGTTAAATAACAACCGCAAGTGTTCATTTTATTTAAATACACCTTTTGTGTGTAACCTTCGGGATTTGGGGATGGTAGTTATTCTTAGATTAGGGGATGGTAATTCTTAGATGGAATTGTAAGTTCTGGGAAATAACTTCTGGTTAATGGGTCCCAAAGCTAATACGGAGTACTGTTATAGGCCGGTTATTTATTTCTGGGTTCTAATGTTGTACTGTCAAATATGGCAGCCAGTAGCTACAGATAGCTATTTAAATTTTAAATAGATAAAATTAAAGACCCCATTAGTTCCACTAGCCACATTTCGAGCGCTCAATAGTCACATATGGCTAGTGACTGCTATATTGTACAACAAAGAATAGTACACTTCCATCCATAGAAGAAAACTACTGGACAACACATCTCTAAACTATTTGTGTTCGTTTGATTTGGCTATGACCGTTCATTAGCATTTTTGAGGAAAGGAAATAATGTTATTAAAAAAGTATAATGTGGATGTTAAAACATGATACTGAAAGTGGACTAAGAAGAATAGAACCAGCCCAAGAGAATTTCATGCAATGATGGTGGATTATTTTAGCTTTTATTAATTTAAAAAAGGAAAAAAGTTATATGTCATTATCTCTTTTATGGCATTGGAAAAGATTTTAATGTTTTTAAGAGCATCTTTTTAAAGAACCATGTTCTTTTATGTTTCCATAACTAATTCTTCTTAGCTGTAATAACTCTTAAGGTGGCTGCATTTTGCATTTTTCTATTGTTCCTGTGTATTAAATCAAAGAAATAATTTTGGATCCTCTGGAATGAAAAGAAACTTAACAAAGTTTACTACCATAGATGAAGTTCCCCAATTCTGACCCACAGAAGAGAGAACAAGGTCATCAGGCCTGAAATCTCAAGCACTGGGTCACAATTGTGCTAAACAGTCCTAACAGGAGTCTGAGAAGAATAATAAGACAATAAAAAATTGTGATGGTTGTTTAATTCATAAGGAAATTCTTGTGCAGTATAGAAAACAAGATATCTCATTTCAGTGGAATTTTAATAAACTTTTTTTTTTTGAGATGGAGTCTCACTCTCTCACCAGGCTGGAGTGCAGTGGCATGATCTCGGCTCACTGCCACCTCTGACTCCCAGGTGGAAGCGATTCTCCTGCCTCAGCCTCCCAAGTAGCTGGGATTACAGGATGCACCACCACGCCCAGCTAATTTTTGTATTTTTAGTAGAGACGGGGTTTCACCATATTGGCCAGGATGGTCTCAATCTCCCAACCTCATGATCCGCCTGCCTTGGCCTCCCAAAGCGCTGGGATTACAGGCCTGAGTCACTGCACCCAGCCTTAACATACATACTTAAGTTGTATGTTTTCTATTTTCTGTTTCCACAGCTAATTAGACTTAGCTATATTAACTCTCATATAAGGTAGCTGCATTTTGCGGTTTTCCACTGGTTCTATTTACTACGTCAAAGAAATAATTGAGAATGGGATTTTTAGTTTTCTGGGAAAATATGTTGTTTCAGAGGGATTCCTAATGTATAATGTAACTGAAAACTGGTCTGCCCCCTAAATTTGTGGTGTGTGAGATGTAGCTAAATAGACTTTAATTTTTTTTATAAACTAAGGTAAATACACTATTCAACAAATATTTTTGAATGCCAGACCCTGTGTTAGTATTTGGAGATATAGCAATAATCAAAAGGCCCTGCCATCATAGAGCTTTTTCTTATGGAAAAGAAGACAGAAAACACGTTAAGTGAAATTACAGTATCTCAGTTGGTAATATATGCTACGAAGAAATATAAAGCAGTGAAGGGAGATGGGAATGGTGGACTTAGGAGTGTTGCTATTTAAAATAGGGAAGTTAAGGAGGGTCTCAACTACTGAAGTGGTATTTGAAGGTAGGGAGGGAGCAAGCCAGGTGTCTCTTTGGGGCAAGTGATTCCAGACAGAAGTAGCAGTAAGTGGAGTAGCTCTGTAGTGCAAGTATGACTGGCATGTTTTAGAGACAGCATGGTGAAGACCATTATCCTAAGCTAACACAGAAACGGAAAACCAAATACCGCATGTTCTCACTTATAAGTGGGAGCTAAACATTGAGTACACGTAGTTATAAAAATAGAAACAATAGACACTGGGGAATACAAGACTGGAGAGGGAGGCAGCAGGGTAAGAGTTGGATACTATGCTCACTACCTGGGTGATGGATTCATTTTTACCTCAGACCTCAGTATTACACAATATACCTTTGTAACCTGTACATGTGCCCCCAGATTCTAAAATAAAAGTTATTTTAACTTTTTAAAAAGAAACAGAACATTACTAGAGCCCTAGAAGTTCCCTTTGTGACCCCTACCAGTTACCACTCCCTTTCCTCAAAGGTAACCATTATCCTGACTTAACACTGTGGGTTAGTTTTACCTCTTTTTGGACTTCATATAAGCAAGATTATACAGTATGTTATCTTTAGAATCTGACCTCTTTTGCTCAATGTTGTATGTCTGAGACCTCACTATAATAGTTGTTCATTAATTTTTATTGATGATTAGACTGTAATTTATCTATTCTATTGCTGATGGACATTTGAATTTTTTCCAGTTTTTGTATTTAATGATCATTGCTGCTATCTGCATACATATTTGTGCACTTCTTTTTAGTGCATTTAATGTAGGCATTCATATTGGGCTTATACCTAGGAATGAAATTTCTGGATCATACCGTATACATATGCTCAGCTTTAGTAGAAATAACCAAAAAGCTTTTCAAAACGGGTTGTCCATTTGATACTCTCATTGGTAATATATATGAGTTCCAGTTTTTCCACAGTTACTAACATGTTAGCAAGTGTCAGTGTTTTTAATTCAAGTGTATTATATTGTACTTTTAATTTGTATTTCTCTGATAACTTTTTGTATGTCCTAAATGAGTCCTTTGATAGTTCTGAGTATTACAAAATTCTCCCTTTCATTATATTAAGCTTTTTGTTTTTTTTGAGATGGAGTCTCACTCTGTCACCCAGGCTGGAGTGCAGTGGTATGGTCTCAGCTCACTGCAACCTCCGCTTCCCAGGTTCAAGCAGTTCTCCTGCCTCAGCCTCCCGAGTAGCTGGGACTACAGGCACACGCCACCACACCTAGCTAATTTTTGTATTTTTAGTAGAGACAGGGTTTCACTATGTTGGCCAGACTGGTCTCGAACTCCTGACCTTGTGGTCCACCCGCCTTGGCTTCCCAAAGTGCTAGGATTACAGGCATGAGCCACTGCACCCGGCCTTAAGCATTTTTTAATATTCAGAAGTTCTTAATTTTAAAAAATTCCAATTTGACATTTTGTTCCTTTATGGGTAGAGATTTTTGTGTTCTACTGAAACAAAAACTTTGTTAGAAAAAAATCTGCAAAGTCAAAAAGATATTGTCTTATGTCACCATTTAGAAGCTTTATTGTTTTACACTCTACCTAGTAATAAATTCTTATGAAGGGTGAAAAAAGAAAAAGACACAGCATGGAAAGCAATGAAATGTAGAAGAAGTCAGCCAGGTAAGGAGGAAGGTGATAAGGAAATCTGTAGGCACTTGTGAGGCTCTTGTAAGGACTTTGACTTTTACTCTTAGATGAGGTGTCATCAGAGAGTTTTGAGCAAAGACAGTGATGTGATCTGACATTTCAAAAGGAACAGTCTGGCTACTGTGTTGGGAATAGCTTGTAGTAGGGCAAGGGTGGAAGCAATGAGCAGAGTTAGGAGATTGTTGCAGTAATCCAGGCAAGAAGTAATGGTGGCTTAGACCAGGGCATGAGCAACAGAAGTGATGAGTAGTATGATTCTGTTTATTTTGTTTTTTGTTTTATTATTTTATTGGAGATGGAGTCTAGCTCTGTTGCCCAGGCTGGAACACAGTGGCACAATATTGGCTCACTGCAACCTCCGCCTCCCAGCTTCAAGCACTTCTCCTGCCTCAGTCTCCCGAGTAGCTGAGACTACAGGCACACGCCACCAGGCCTGACTAATTTTTGTGTTTTTAGTAAAGACGGGGTTTCACCATGTTGCCCAGGGTGGTCTCGAACTCCTGAGCTCAGGCAATCCACCTGCCTCAGCCTCACAAAGGGCTAGGATTACAGGCGTCAGCCACTGTGCCTGGTCTGTATTTATTTTTATCTGGAGGTTTTCTAGAAGTGGAATAAAGTACAAAGAATTAGATATGATGTTCTAACATTACAATGCCCTTCTAATTGCTATTCCCTAAATACATCTAAAAATATTTTTCCCCTTTTTGGTTATTCTTACTCGTGCGTGTGTTTGTGTGTGTGTGTGTGTGTGTGTGTGTGTGTGTGTGTGATTTGTACTCAAATAGCTAGGGTTTGGATACAGTTTATTATGTGAAAACATAACTTACTTTGTTGTTTAACTCATTTATCACCAAGCACTTGTACAGCAGTGTTCTGTTCATATCATGTTATATAAATTTGGGTTAGTCTGTTTAATTGCTCCCAGAAACTTTGTGGTCTTCCTTACTATGGTCACCTGAAATTTTTATTTTTCTTCTTTTTTCTCTTTGACTTTTCTGCTTCGTATAAACTCATTATGCCCTGAAATTTGCCTAGGTCTAACCTTCATATGAGCTATGGACTCATATGAAGTCCATATGTGGTAGGACTGAGCAGAAAGGAAGAAGCCAGTGGTACTCCCTATGCTGATTTTTCCCTCCCCTTGCATCCAAATCAGTGGTCTAATCACCTGTGGTACTAGACCAAGGTAAATATGTCTTTCCATGTAGATGCTCATCACGTATACTCCTTAAGGTGAACAAAAAAAGGGAAGAAATAAGGGCCAGAGTTGGGCTACCTTTTAATCTGGTTTGTTATTCAACTGTTGCTGGTAACTTCAAAAATGAATCCTACTTTTCAAAACCTCAAAAGGAGAATTTTTGTTCAAGGAAAAGAAGAAACATAGTCACCTGAGGCAAGAGTCTTTGATCTTAATGCCACCTTCTCAAGCCACCCACCTTCATACCGATGTCCTATTAGAATCTACACATAGACCACAGGAGTCACCACCAGGGTCACAGGGCTGGGTAATGCCTGTTCATAGTGCCATGCTTCAGAGGGCGGAGTGGATGTGTTCTTGACATCCCCTAAAATCCTAAACCAGCTTTCCTATATTAACAGCAGTATTCAGCAACTCTAGGAGTTAGGCTTCTCTATTATTTCTATTTTACAGATGGTGAAACTGAAGCACAGAGTAAGTGAAATTATTAGGGTTCCACAATTAGAGAAGTGACTGCCTTGTTTTCTAATTTTACTTGTGAAATTTTTAACACACACTAAAACTAGACACATGAACCCCCATTAATACCATCACCCAGATTCAGTAATTTGAAGATTTTTGAAGATTTTACCACATTTGCTGCTTGCTTGCTTTTTTTTTTGAGACAGAGTTTCGCTCTGTCCCCCAGGCTGGAGTGCAGTGACGCAATCTCGGCCTACTGCAAGCTCTGCCTCCTGGGTTCACGCCATTCTCCTGCCTCAGCCTCCCAAGTGGCTGGGACTACATACAGGTGCCCACCACCACGCCTGGCTAATTTTTTGTATTTTTAGTAGAGACGGGGTTTCACCGTGTTAGCCAGGTTGGTCTCGATCTGACCTCGTGATCCGCCCGCCCCGGCCTCCCAAAGCGCTGAGATTACAGGCGTGAGCCACCGGCGCCCAGCCGCTTTCTTCTGCACTGAAGTATTTTAAAGCAATTCCCAGATATCATTGCCATTTTACCTTTACTAAAGTATGCAGGTCTGAAAATTATGGACATTTCTATGTATAACCACAATACCATTGATAACAGAGTTATCAGTAATTCCTTGGTATCATCTGATTTTTAAAACCAAGTTTATTTTTAAAACCTTTATTTCTACTCCAAGAATCTAATAAGCCCACAGATATTTAGAACTTAACCACCATAACTTTTCATGTCATTGGCACACAATATACATATTTTAGTAATTAAATAAGCAAAAAGTAGGAGAGCAGTCTGTAGGCTGTTTCTAAGTTGTAAGTGCTTAAGGATGTGCTTTAGCTCGAGATCTGGAACTCATTACTTTTAAAAATACTGTTAAGGACAAAATTAAGTAGAAGAAATTCATTCTCTTTTGATGATAGTATATGGCCTTTTGCATGCTTTAGAAAGATTATCAAGCACTGTTTATGACTTTGTGATATTTCACAACACATTTTAGGATTTACATAGGGACTAGTAAATAGCTTATATCCTATCAGTATTACCAAAGGAATCAAAGTACATTAATTTGAAGAATTAAGATGAAAGAAGAAACTTTCTAGCCAACTGTAATATTTTTCCAGTATTTTTTGTTACATGTCTTTTAAGCAAGTGTTATTTGTGGACATTCTGCGGGAAATAACCCTATTGATTTCTTTAGTTCACTTGCTATTCAACAATAAATAAATGAATGAGTAAATAAACTCAGGTTACTGAGTTCACCTTAATTAAAAGGATTATGTAGCACAATTCCCTTATTTATTACTGGTGTAGTCTCCTGGCCTCAAAATGAGACATCTGTTTATTACCACAGCCCAGTAGGTTCTGTTCCAGTGTTGCTGCCTAGATGTTCTTCTCAGTCTCTTTACTATCTGAAACAATAATGAGCCACCTAGAGGCTATATGCAGTTTCCTTGGCTTTACCATGTGGTCTATAATCTAATTTCAACACCATGTATTTGAAAGCTGCCCTTGAGTTGTCATTTTTTTTATGGTTTTCTAACTTTTAAAGTTACTGTTTTCCATATCACTTAATACATTTTCATTTTGAATTGAAAAATAAGTACCTAAAAGCGTTTTTTGCAAATGTTCATCCTATACTGCTCTGAAATACGTGAGTTATAATTTTTCCTATCACTTGAATGAAAGCATTGTATTCAAACACCTGGGTTAATTACAAGAAATATCACTTAGTGGAAGTTAAAACCTCGATTCTCTACCTTGCTGTACTTTAGTGTTGTAGTCTGAAACAGGTCACTTCAATTTCTTCATCTACAACAGGAGAGGAATGAATTCGATAATCCCACAAATCTTCTGGCTTTAAAAGTATATCTCTCATTACATATATAGGGAAAGTTTGTGCATGTATTGTGAACCATACTGTAAAGGGATTATTACCATTTTGTTGCTGCAATTAGAATTTTTGTTCAGTTCCCTTTGAATGGCATATTTCTAACATTGGTAGAACATTTTAAATTATTATATAGCTGGAACTATTCCAGAGAGTATCTTTACATTAACTTGTTAAGTTTTACTGTGATGCAGTTTGTTTTTTTTTTGTTTTTTTTTTTTTTTGAGACGGAGTCTCGCTTTGTCACCCAGGCTGGAGTGCAGTGGCGCGATCTCGGCTCACTGCAACCTCTGCCTTCCGGGTTCACGTCATTCTCCTGCCTCAGCCTCCCGAGTAGCTGGGACTACAGGGACCCGCCACCACGCCTGGCTAATTTTTTGTATTTTTAGTAGAGACGGGGTTTCACCTTGTTAGCCAGGATGGTCTCAATCTCCTGACCTCATGATCCACCTGCCTCAGCCTCCCAAAGTGTTGGGATTACAGGCCTGAGCCACTGCGCCCAGCTGCAGTTTGTTAATTTTTTTAACGATTTTGAAGTAAATTAAGTTCTTATGAACTTAAAGGCTATGTAAAGCAAATTTGACATGTTTTTCTGAGTTCTTAAGTAATATGTGCTTGTAATAATAGAAAATTTGAGGCTGGGCACAGTGGCTCCGGCCTGTAATCCCAGCACTTTGGGAGGCTGAGGCAGGCGGATCACGAGGTCAGGAGATCGAGACCATCCTGGCTAACACGTTGAAACCCCATCTCTACTAAAAACACAAAAAATTAGCCGGGTGTGGTGGCAGGCACCTGTAGTCCCAGCTACTCGGGAGGCTGAGGCAGGAGAATGACGTGAACCCGGGAGGCGGAGCTTGCAGTGAGCAGAGATCGCGCCACTGCATTCCAGCCTGGGTGACAGAGCAAGACTCCATCTCAAAAAAATAATAATAATAATAGAAAATTTGAAAATTACAAAAAAAAAGTCCACCAGATATGATCACTGGGTAAAATGTGATGCATCCTTCTACAAAATTGGGATAACAGTCTGTGTATGGTTTTATACCTTTTTCCATTGATTATATCATGTATTTTTTCACATACTCAAAAATCCTGTCATGAGGGCACGATGACAGAGTAGGAAGTCCTAGCCTTTGCTCTCCCATAGAAACATCAAGATAACAATACTTGGGCCAGGCGTGGTGGCTCACGCCTGTAATCCCAGCACTTTGGGAGGCCGAGGCGAGTGGATCATGAGGTCAGGAGTTCAAGACCAGCCTGGCCAACATGGTGAAACCCCATCCCTACTAAAAGTACAAAAATTAGCTGGGCATGGTGGTGCATGCCTGTGGTCCCAGCTACTTGGGAGGCTGAGGCAGGAGAATTGCTTGAACCCAGGAGGTGGAGGTTGCAGTGAGCCAAGATCGTGCCATTGCACTCCAGCCTGGGCAACAGAGCAAGACTCTGTTTCAAAAAAAAAAAATAACAATACTTGTACTAAAATACCTTTATAAGAAATGCAGAATCCAGTTAATAAGTTGTAGCACCCAGCCACATACATAACTGAGAAACCATGATAGGTAAGGAGAGCAAATTCACTTTGCCCACATCAGCTTCTCCCGCAAACTAGCTTAGTTCAGAGCAAAGAGAATCACCCATGACTTCTCCCACATTGGGAAAGGAAAGAATGGAGCTTGCACTTGGCCATCTGGCCTCCTGGCATTTCAGTGCACCCCTGCCAATTTCTGTCTCACCTCATATCCAGTGCTGAAAAACTGATAGAGCCCAGATGCCTGAAACAACTGAGAACAAAAGAAGGGTGAGTGGCCTCCTACAGATGGCACTGTTCTGCAAGATTGGGAAAAGGCTTGGAACCTTTCCCTTTAGGAGGGAAATGAAGTGAGCCTTGTCTCTAACCTTTCAGTGTGGTACCCAAAGGGCTCGTTTCCATCTCAATTCATGCCACCTACTAAAGGACTGGTGGAGCCTGGATGCCTGTGACAACTAGGAATAAAGGGAAATGAGTGGGTACCCTCTACAGCAAACAGTACTCTGTGAGACTGGAAAAAGTACTGTTTCTTCAAAGGCACAGACAACAATGCAGCCATACAAGGAACATGGAAAATCAAGAAAACATGACAGAATCTAAGGAAGAAAATAATTCTTTAGTAACCAATTTAAAAAAAAGTGGATGTATTAATTACCTACAAAGAATTTAAATTAATCCTCTTAAAGAAGCTCACTGAGTTACATGAAAACACTGGTAGAAAACTAAATGAAATCAGGAAAAGAATATATGAGCAAAGTAAGGATATTAACAAAGGGAAACAATAAAAAAGAAACAAATACTGGTGCTGAAGAATACAGTAACTGAACCGAAAAATTGACTACAGGAGTTCAATAAGCAGCTGACAATCGATCAAGCAGAAGAAAGAATCGAAAACAGGTCATTTTTGAAATTATCAAATTAGCAGAGCAAAATAAAAAGAATGAAAAGGAGTGAAGCTGTGGAATTCAATCAAGCAAAGATAAGGAATGGACAACCCAGAAGTAGAAAAGGAGCAGAAAGCTGTTTCAAGAAATAATGAGTGAAAATTTCCCAAATCTGGTGAGGGAAATGGATATTCAGATTCATGAAGGTCAAAGAGTGCCAAACAGGATGAACCCAAAATGGTCTACACCAACACATATTATAATCAAATTGTCAAAAATCAAAGACATAAAGGTAAGTGAGATAAGCGCTGAAAGAAAAGAAAAAAAAAACTGTCAACCAAGAATAGTGTACCCAGCAAAGCTATCCCTCAGAAATGGAGTGAAAGATTTTACCAGATAAACAGAAGCTAAAGGAGTTTAATCATTTCTAGAACTGCCTTACAAGAAATGCTAATGGGAGTTCTTCAACATGAAACAAAGGAACAATAAATAACACAAAGCATATGACAGTAAAAAACTCACTAGTGAATATATAAACAAATAGAGAATAATATTGTATTGTACTACTGGTTAATAAATCACTGTAACTCTGATATAAATGTTAAAAGCCAATGGTATTAGGCCGGACACCATGGCTCACACCTGTAATTCCAGCACTTTGGGAGGCCAAGGCAGGTGGATCACCTGAGGTCAGGAGTTCAAGACCAGTGTGACCAACATGGTGAAACCTTGTCTCTACTAAAAATACAAAAACTAGTCGAGCATGGTAGGGGGTACCTGTAAACCGAGCTACTTGGGAGGCTGAGGCAGGAGAATCACTTGAACCTAGGAGGCAGAGGTTGCAGTGAGCCGAGATCACACCACTGCACTCCAGCCTGGGCAACAGAGCAAGACTCTGTCTCAAAAAAAGAAAAAGCCAACAGCATGAAGAATAACTCCAATAATTAATTGGTGGATATGTAATATTAAAATACATAAATTAGAACATCAGTAGCAACGTATGCAGGAGCAAATGTGTACAGTTTTTGCATACAATTATATTATTATCTTAAAATGCACTATTATATATACCACATGGTAATCATACAGCAAAAACACATACAGGCATACCTTGTTTTGTTATGATTCATTTTATTGCACTTCACAGATATTATGTTTTTTTTACAAATTAAGTTTGTGGCAACCCTGCATCAAGCAACTATATTGGCACCATTTGTCCAATATCATGTGCTCACATTGTGTTTCTTGTTATATCTTTGTTGTTCTTGTTGTTGTCGTCGTCATTTTCTAGAAACAGTGTCTTGCTCTGACACCCGGGGTGGAGTGCAGTGGCATGATCATGGGTAATGGCAGCCTCACCTCCTGGGCTAAAGAGATCCTCACCTTGGCTTCCCAGAGTGCTTGGATTACAGATGTAAACCACCACACTGAGCCCACCCTTGTTATATCTGATATGATCTGTTATCAGTAATCTTTGATGTTACTATTGTAATCATTTTGGTGCCCCACGAACCACACCTGTAGAAAATAGCTAATTTAATTATAAATTGTGTGTGTGTTCTGACTACGGACCAGCCCTTCCCCCATTTCTTGCCCTCACATTGAGCTGCCCAAATCCCTAAGAGATAATAATATTGAAATTAGGCCAATTACAGTTGCCCACACCTGTAATCCCAACAGCAGGAAGATCACTTGAGCACAGGAGTTTAAGACCAGCCTGGGGAACATAGACCCCCATCCCTACAAAATATTTTAAAATTAGCTGGGCATAGTGGTGTGCACCTGTGTTCCCATCTACTTGGGAGGCTGAGGTGGGAGGATCACTTGAACCTGGGAAATCAGAGCTACAGTGAGCTGTGATTGCACCACTGCACTGCAGCCTGGGCAACAGAGCAAGACCCTGTCTCAGAAAAGAAAGAAAGAAAAAATTAGGCTTATTAATAACTCTACGGTGACCTCTAATTGCTAAGTGAAAGGAAGAGTCCCACGTCTCTCACTCCAAGTCAAAAGCTAGAAATGATTAAGCTTCATAAGGAAGGCACTTCAAGAGCCCAGATAGACCAGAAACTAGGCCTCTTGTACCAAACAGGCAAGTTGTGAATGCAAAGGAAAAGTTTTTGAAAGAAAGTATAAGTGGTACTCCATCTATCACATGAGTGATAAGAAAGGGAAATGGCCTTATTACTGATAAAGTTTTGGTGGTCTGGATAGAAGATGAAACTAGCCACAACATTCCCTTAATCCAAAGTCTAATCCAGAGCAAGGCTCTAATGCTCTTCAAGTCTGTGAAGGCTGAGAGAGGTGAGGAAGCTGCAGGAGAAAAAGCTTGAAGCTAGTAGAGGTTGGTTCATGAGGTTTAAAGAAAAAAGTCACCTCCCTGAAAATGCAAGCTGAATCAGCAGGTGCTGTCGTGGAAGCTGCAGAAGATCTAGTTAAGGTCATTGATGAATGTGGTTACAGTAAACAACAGATTTTTCAGTGTAGACAAAACAGCCTTCTATTGCAAGAAGATACCATCTAGGACTTTGATAGCTAGAGACAAGCCAATACCTGACTTTAAAAGCGTCAAAAGACAGGCTGACTCTCGTTAGAGGTTAATGCATCTGGTCACTTTAAGTTGAAGCCAGTGCTCATTTGCCATTCCAAAAGTCCTAGGGCCCTTAAGAATTATGCTAAATCTACTCTGCCTGTGCTCCATAAGTGGAACAACATAGCGTGGATGATAGCACATCTGTATACAGCATGATTTACTGAATATTTTAAGCCCACTTTGGAGAGCTACTGCTTACAAAAAGGTTCCTTTTAAAATTACATCTCATCGACAATGTACATGGTCACTCAAGAGCTCTGGTGCAGATGAACCAGGAGATTCATGTTGTTTTCATGCTTGCGAACACAGCATCTGTTCTGCAGCCCATGGATCCAAGAGTTAATTTTGACTTTCAAGTCTTATCATTTAAGGAATACATTTTACAAGATTATAGCTGCCATAGATAGTGATTTCTCTGGTGGATCTTGGAAAAGTAAACTGAAAACCTTATAAAAACGATTCACCCATTCTAGATGCCATTCAGAACATTCATGATTCATGGGAGGAGATCAAAATATCAACATTAACAGGACTTTGTAAGAGATTGATTCCAGCACTCATGGATCATTTGAGGAGTTCAAGACTTCAGTGTAGGAAGTCACTGTAGATGTGGTGAAAATTGCAAGAGAACTAGAATTGGAAGTGGAGCCTGAAGATTTGACTAAATTGCTACAATCTCATCATAAAACTGGAATGCATGAGAAGTTGCTTTTTATGGATGAACAAAGTGGTTTTTGAGATTAGAATCTACTTCTAATGAAGATGCTGTGAATGTTGTTGAAATTATAACAACAGAGACTTTAGAATATTCCGTAAACTTAGCTGATAAAGTAGCAGCAGAGTTTAAGGGGATTGAGTCCAATTGTAAAAACAATCTCTCCTGTGGATAAAAAGCTATTAAGCAGCATAGCATGCTACAGAGAAATCTTTCATGAAAGGAAGTCAACAGATGCAGCAAACTTCATTGTCTTATTTTAAGAAATTGCCAGTCACTCCAGCCTTCAGCTATCACCCTGATCAGTGAGTAGCCATCCGATATTGGGACAAGGCATTCTATCAGCCAAAGATTACAACTTGCTGAAGACTCAGGTGATTGTTAGCATTTTTTAGCAATAAAGTGTTTTTTACCTAAGGTATATGTATTGCTTTTTTAGACATAACGCTGTTGCACACTTAATAAACTACATTACAGTGTAAACATTACTTTTATGTTAACTTGAAAAACAAAAAATTGTGTGACTTTCTTTATTTCAATATTCACTTTATTGCAGTGGTCTGGAAGTAAACCTGCAATATCTGCAAGTTATGCCTGTGGTAGATACACAAAAGATAAATACATAGCACTACAAAAAAATCATCAAATCACAAAGGAAGACAGCAAGAGAAGAAAGGAATGAAAAAAACTACGAACAAAATGACGATAGTAAGTCTTTACCTATTATTAATTACTTTAAATATAAATGGATTAAATTCCATCACCAAAAGTCATTGAGTGGCTGAATGAATTAAAAAACAGGATCCAACCATGTGCTGCCTGTAAGACACTCAGCTTTAAGGACAAATACAGGGTGAAAGCGGGGAAATGAGAAAAGATACTCCATGCAAATAGTAATTAAAAGAGCAGGAGTGTCTATACTTATATCTTAGAAAATAGACTTTAAGTCAAAAACTGACACAAGAGACAAGGTCATTATAGAATGATAAAAGGGTCAGTCAGGAAGACAAAACAATTATAAATATATATGCATCCAGTATGAGGGCACCTAAATATGTAAAGCAAATATTAACATACCTGAAGTGAAAAATAAACAACAATACAATAATAAAATAAGACATCAAGACACAACTCTCAACAATGGATAAATCATCTGGACAGAAAATCAGTGAGGAAACACTGGATTTTAACCAAACTATGGGCCAAATGGACCTAACAGACATATACAGAACATTCCATCCAACAACAGCAGAATACACATTCTTCTCAAGCACACATGGAACATTCTCCAGGATAAATCACATGTTAGGCTACAAAACAAGTCTTAACAAATTTAAGAAGATTGAAATCATGTCAGATATCTTTTCTGACCACAATAATATAAAACTGGAAATCAATAAAAGGAAAATTTACAAATATATGGAAATTAAACAGTCAATAAATATTAAAAGGGAAGTCAAGGCCAGGTGCCAGTGGCTCACGCCTGTAATCCCAGCACTTTAGAAGGCCAAGGCGGGCGGATCACGAGGTCAAGAGATCGAGACCATCCTGACCAACATTGTGAAACCCTGTCTCTACTAAAAATACAAAAATTATCTGTGCATGGTGGCATGCACCTGTAGTCGCAGCTACTCGGGAGGCTGAGGCAGGAGAATCGCTTCAACCCGGGAGGCAGAGTTTGCAGTGAGCCAAGATCTGGCCACTGCGCTCCAGCCTGGGTGACAGTGCGAGACTCTTGTCTCAAGAAAAAAAAAGGGGGGGGAAGTCAAATAATATCTTGATACAAATAAAAATAAAAAACAACTTACCAAAACTTATAGCAAGTGGCAAAAGCAATACTAAAAGGAAAATTTATAGCAAAAAATGCCCTATGTTAAGAAAGAAGAAAAAGGCCAGGCGCAGTGGCTCACACCTGTAAGCCCAACATTTTGGGAGGCCGAGGCATACAGATCATGAGGTCAGGAGTTTGAGACCAGCCAGGCCAACATAGTGAAACCCTGTCTCTACTACTACAAAAAATTAGTTGGGTGTGGTGGTGGTCGCCTGTAATCCCAGCTACTTAGGAGGCTGAGGCGGGAGAATCGCTTGAACCTGGGAGGCGGAGGGTGCAGTGAGCCAAGATCACACCACTGCACTCCAGCCCTGGCGACAGTGCAAGACTCTGTCTCAAAAAAAAAGAAAAAAGAAAAATTTCATACAACGTAACTTTAAACCCTAATGAATTAGAAAAACAATGTTCAAAGCCCCAAGTTAGCAGAAGAAAGGAAATAATAAATATTACAGCAGAAATAAATACAGACTAGAAAAAGCGGTAGTAAGGACTAACAAAGCTGGGCATTGCTTTTTGAAAAGGTAAACAAAATTGACAAACCTTTAGAGTAAGAAAAAAGACTCGAAGTGAAAGAGGAGACATTACAACTGATGCCACAGAAATACAATAAGATTATAAGAGACTCCTGTGAGCCTTCATTTCCAACAAATTGAATAATCTAGAAGAATAAATAAATTCATAGAAACATAAACCTTCCAAAACTGAATCATGAAGGAAATATAAAATACCATCAGACCAATAGCAAATGAGAGTGAATCCATAATTATTAAAAACCTTCCCCCAAAAAAGAAAAGCCCAGGACTGGATGGCTTCACAGGTGAATTCTACCAAATATTTGAAGAAGAATTAATGCCAGTCCTTCTTCAACTCTTCGAAAAAGTTGAGGAAGAGGGAACGCTTCTAAACTCATTTTATGTGACTAGCACTACTGTGATACCAAAGCCAGACAAGGACACTAACAATAAAACTATAGGTCAGTGTCTCTGATAAACATAGATACCAAAATCCTCAACAAATAGCAAACTAAATTTGACAGCACATTAAAAGGATCGTATATCCTAAATGGGATTTATCCCTGGGGTGCAGGCATGGTTCACCATATGCACATCAATAAATATACTACGCCACATTGTAACAGAATGGATAAAAATCTTGACCATGTCAATAGATGCAGAAAAAGCATTTGACAAAATTCAACATTCTTTCATGATATAGCACTCAAAAAATTAACCATAGGAGGAATGTACCTCAACATACTAAAGTCCATATATGGCCATGTATGACAAGCCCACAGCTTAATATCATACTCAATAGTGAAAAACCGGAACCGTTTCCTCTAAGATCAGAAACAAGATATGGATGCCTGCTCTTGCCACTTCTATTCAACAAAGTATTGGAAGCTCTAGCCGGAGCAATTAGGGAAGAAAAATAAAAGCATCCAAATCTGAAAAGAAAAACTAAAATTGTCTGCAGATGACATGGCATTATATATAGAAAACACTAAAGACACCACCAAAAAAAAAACTCTTAATAAATTCAGCAAGGTTGGTGGATGCAAAACCAACATACAAAAATCAGTTGCAGTTCTATATATTCAACGGGAAATTAAGAAAATCCCATTGACAGTAACATCAAAAAGAACAAAATATTTAGGGAATAAACTTAGCCAAAGAGGTGAAAGTCTTCTGTTTTACTGATAAAAGAAATTAAAGCAGATACAAATAAATGGAAAAACATCTCATGTTCATGACTGGAAGAAATAGTATTGTTAACATCTCCATACTACCCAAAGCAGTCTACAGATTCAATGCAATCTCTATTAAAATCTCAATGGCATGTTTTACAGAAATAGAAAAACAACCCTAAAATTAATATGGAACAACATAAGACCCTGAATAGCCAGAGCAGTCTTGAAAAAGAACAAAGCTGGAGGCATCATACTTCCTAATTTCAAAATATATTACAAAGCTGCAGTAATCAAAACAGTATTGTGCTAGCATAAAGATGGATGTATAGACCAGTGGAGCAGAAGAGAGACCCCATAAATAAACCCACTCATTTATGATTAACTGATCTTTGGTACCAAGAACATAAAATGGGGAAAGGATAGTCTCTTCAACAAATGGTGTTGTGTAAACTGAAAATCCACAGGCAAAAGAAGGAAATTGGATCCTATCGTAGACCATGGCCAGAAATCAAAGCAAAATAGATTTAAGACTTAAATATAAATTCTGAAACTGTAAAACTTCTCACAGAAAACATAGGGGGAAAGCTTCTTGGCATTGGTCTTGGTAATGACTTTGTGGTTTGACACCAAAAACAAAGGCAACAGAACCAAAAATAGGCAAGTGGGACATCGTAATAAAAGCTCTGTACAGAAAAGGAAACAATCAGCAAAATTAAAAAGCAAGCTGAAGAGGCCGAGGCAGGCAGATTCCTTGAGCCCAGGAGCTCGAGACCAGCCTGGACAACATGATAAAACCCCATCTGTACAAAAAAATACAAAAAGTAGCTGGGTGTGGTAGCATGCATGTGTAGTCCCAGCTGCTTGGGAGGCCCAGGTGGGAGGATCCATTGAGCCCAGGAGATCAAGGCTACAGTAAGCCATGATTACACCACTGCATTCCATGCTGGGAAACAGCAGGACCCTGTCTAAAAGAAAAAAAATGTGAGATAAAAGTAAGGAGGCTGAGGCAGGTAGATCACTTGAGGTCAGGAGTTCAAGACCAGCCTGGCCAACATGGTGAAACCTGTATCTACTGAAAAAAAAAAAAAATAGGCATGGTGGTGCACACTTGTAATCCCAGCTACTTGGGAGGCTGAGGCAGGAGAATTGCTTGAATCTGGGAGCCAGAGGTTGCAGTGAGCCGAGATGGTGCTATTGCACTCCAGCCTGGACCACAGAGTGAGACTCTGTGTCCAAAAAACAAAGAGAAATGGAAGTTAAATATTAGCAAACCATCTATCAAGGTAAAAGGTTAATATCCAAAATATGGTAACTCGTATAACTCAATAGCAAAATAACAAATTTAACCTAATTTTAAAACAAGCAAAAGACTAATAGACATTTCTCCAAAGAAGACATACAAATGGCCTCCAGGCATATGGCAAGATGCTGAGTTTCATTAATCATGGAAATGCAGATCAAAACCACAGTGAGATATCAACTCACATCTTAGCATGTCTATTATCAAAAATAAATTTAAGGTCAGGCATGGTGGCTCACGCCTGTAATTCCAACACTTTGGGAGGCTGAGATGGGCAGATTGGTTGAGTCCAGGAGTTCAAGACCAGCCTGGCCAACATGCTGAAACCCTGTCTCTACTAAAAAATACAAAAAAAGTTAGCCAGGCATGGTGGCGCACACCTGTAGTCCCAGCTGCTCAGGAGGCTGAGGTGAGAGAATCGCCTGAGCCTGGGAAGTTGAGGCTGCAGTGAGCCTAGATGGTGCCCTGCACTCCAGCCTTGGCAACGAGAGTGAGACCGTCTCTAAATAAATAGACATTTGTGAGGATGTAGAAAAATTGGAGCTTTTATACAACTGTTTGTGGGAATGTAAAATGGTGCAGCCACTATGGAAAGCAGTATGGAGATTCATCAAAAATAGCACTGCCGTATGATCCAATAATGGAATATTTCTGGATATGTATACAAAAAGAGTGTAATCAGGATCTCAAAGATATCTGCACACCCATGTTCACTGCACCATTATTCACATTAGCCAATATAAGGAAACAACCCAAATGTCCATCAAAAGATGCATAAAGAAAATGTGATATAGACATGCAATGGAATAATATTAAGCCTTTAAAAAAGAGAGAAATCCTACTATATTCAACAAACTGGATGAACCCACAGGACATTATGCTACATGAAATAAGCCAGTCACAGAAGGACAAATACTACATGACTCCACTTATGTGAGGTATCTAAAATAGTCAAACTCCCAGAAGCAGAGAATAAAATGGTGATTGCTGGGGCTGTAAGGAGGGAAAAATGGAAAACTGTTAATCAATGAGTATAAAATTTCTGTTCTGCAAGATGAAAAATTTCTAGAGATCTGTTGTAAAGCATAGTACCTATTAGGATTGTGTGAGTCTGTTGATCAATTTGGGGAGAATTGACATGTTAACAGTATTGAAACTTCCAACCAACAGACATGGCATTCCATTTACTTAGATCTTGTTTGATTTATTTCAACAATGTTTTGTAGTTTTCAGTGTATAGGACTGATACTTCTGTTCAGTTTATTCCTAAATATCTTGTATTTTTGATACTACTGTAAAAAGTTGTTTTTTAAATTTTAATTTCCAAATGTTCATTGCTAGCATGTAGAAATACAATTGATTTTTATATATTGACCTTGTATCCTGTGACCTTACTAAACTTGCTAACTTTACTGAACTCATAGTTATAGTAGCTTTTTTTAGATTCCTTAGAATTTTTGTGTAAATGATCATGTAATTGGCAAATAAGGACACTTCTGCTTCTTTCTTTCCAATCCATATTCTTTTTATGGATGAATAGTTTTATGGAGTATAGTTTTAATAGCTGATTTAAGTTCTTTCCCTAAATCCTTCATCTGCCATTTCTGAGTATATTTCTGTTGATGGATTTTTCTCCTAGTTGTGAGCCGTGTTACCTTACCACTGTGTGGACTCTACTGCTTTCCAGCGGTTCTCTCTTCAGACTTGTAGTTTTGCCCAACACATGTACAAATCATTACTCAGCCAAAAACCTGGGTAATATGAAGTCTTTGCAAATCTGTGAAGCTCTTTCTGTACAGTTTGTCTCTGGTACTCTGCCCTAAAATTCTAGACTGCAAACTCCCCAAAATCTCTTGTCTCCTCGATTCAGGGAGACTACCAGGCTATGTTGTAACCTGAAAACTCTCTCCAGACCATAATCGGAGGCAATTTATAATACACACCTCATTTTTTCCCCATCTTTCAGGATCACAGTCCTATATTGCTTATTGTCCAATGTCTGAAAACAATTATTTTGTTTTCTCTAGTTTTATAGTTGTTTACAGAGGGAAGGCCGTTGTCCTTAGTGTTTCTTTGTAGAAGAAGTAAAAGTCTCTTACATGTGTATTTTAATACCACCAAATAAATGAAAGTTGAGTTGAAAGGAGAAAAATACTGAGACTGTATGACTGTCCCCTCTGAGTATTATTAGAAATTGTGTGACATATTTTTTCTACTTTATATAATACCTTATATTCTCCAAAGCCAAATATCCATTCTTTTAGAAGCCTTTAATTTTTTTTATTTTTCTTTTTAAGAAAACTTATGGAAAACAAATTAACGTCTTTATAATTTATGGATATGGTAGCAACTTTAGAATAAAGAAAGGATAAAAACCTTAAAAGCAGACATACTTATATATGTTAGTAATGTATTCTTTGGAGTCTAATATGGAAGCCATTCTCACAAGAACAGTTTTATATCCTTTCTGTAACAGAAAAAAATACGGTTTTTTTGTTCGATGTCTCCTTGAAATGTTTTTTAAAATACAGTTTAGAATCACATGTCAAGTTGATTAGATTTACCAGAGTGACTAAAACTTTTTAAAGGTCAAGAAAAATTAGATTATTTCCATTAGTAATTCCTGTGATGTTTTCCTTGACATGTTCTACATTGGCTGTTTTATAACCTTTTCCTATTTACTACTTGGATTCTTCATATTTTTCTTATGTGGGGTGATTTTATATATGAATTTTTTAAAATGTAGCATTTGTTACACATTTTTCTCACAATGTTGGTTTGCCCTTTTTAGTGAGGTATGCTGTTGGATATCAAGTTTTTCATTTTTATATAGTCAAAAATGTATCACTTCCTAATTTATTGCTATTCTAAGATTAGGAAGACTTGACTATCTTAAAAGCACCTCAGGTTCAACATGTGCAAAATAGTGCTCATTGTTTACTTCACCACCATGCCTCCACACCCCCCCAAAAAATTCCCTGATTTTCATTTCTAATATTCCCTATCCCAGTAAGAAAGAAACTGTACCATGTTAACACAACCCAGAAAATTTAGGAGTTATTCTTGCCTACTGTCCCCTCACCCCCTATAGCTAATCCAGCACCTATTCCTGTCCATTTTACCTCTGATATGTAGCTTGAGGCTGTCCATTTTCTCTACATTGACCAACAAAACTCCAGTTCAAGGTGCCAGTATCTCTCATCTCTATTACTAAAATACTTTCTTAACTCATCTCCCCACTTTGGTTCTGGCATCCTTCCAGACTCTTCTAATGCCACAGTAACATTTTCTAGACAGAAATTTAATCATTTTATTCCTTTTTTTTTTTTTTTTTTGAGACAGAATCACACGCAATGGCGTGATCTCGGCTCACTGCAACCTCCCATCTCCCAGGTTCACGCGATTCTCCTGCCTTAGCCTCCCAAGTAGCTGGAATTACAGGAGCACACCACCACACCTGGCTAATTTTTTGTATTTTTATTAGACATGGGGTTTCACTATGTTGGCCGGACTGGTCTCGAACTCCTGACCTCGTGATCCACCCACCTCAGCCTCCCAAAGTGCTGGGATTACAGGTGTGAGCCACCGCGCCCAGCCTATTCTTTTCTTAAAATGATTGTTGAGCAGCTTACAAAATTTTTTCTTTGACATAGAACCCTGTCTACCTCTACGTCATCATTTCATGTTCACTTACTCTCTGTACTCCAGTCACTCTGGATTCTTTTCAGCTCGCTTTGATCTCTTCAAGTGCTGCAAATGCTTTTCCTTTTCCCTATAATGCTGTCTCCCTACCTTACTTCTCCTGGTTAACTTCCACTTATTCTTAAGATCCATTTAAAGCCGGGCACGGTGGCTCACGCCTGTAATCCCAGCACTTTGGGAGGCCAAGGCGGGTGGATCACGAGGTCAGGAGATCGACACCATCCTGGCTAACACGGTGAAACCCCATCTCTACTAAAAATACAAAAAATTAGCTGGGCATGGTGGCGGGCGCCTGTAGTCCCAGCTACTCGGGAGGCTGAGGCAGGAGAATGGCATGAACCCGGGAGGCGGAGCTTGCAGTGAACCGAGATCGTGCCACTGCACTCCAGCTTGGGCGACAGAGCGAGACTCCATCTCAAACAAACAAAAAAAAAGATCCATTTAAATCAATTTAGGGACGCCTGCTCTCCCTTACAGTGTCAAATATGCCCATGATATGTAGCACCATGTACTTGTCCTTCACAGCACTGAATCACTATTGTGTCTCTAGTATATAGCACAGTTCCTGGTACTTCGTAGGCCCTCAGGGAATTGTTGGTTAAATGAATAAACGAATTAATGATTATTCCTCAAGCTAAATTTTAGAATCATTGGGCTTTTCCGTGAAATTAAGGTGATTTACTTGAGAAAATGTGACATACCATCAAGAAATGGTGTTTTTCAGGCCAGACATGGTGGCTCATACTTGTAATCTCAGCACTTTGAGAGTCCAACAAATACAAAATATTTAAAATTATCCACATATGGTGGCACATGCCTGTGGTCCCAGCTACTCAGGAGGCTGAGCTGGAAGGATCACTTAAGCCCAGGAGGTTGAGGCTGCAGTGAGCCGTGATCATACCACTGCGCTCCAACCTGAACAACAGAGTGAGACACTGTGTCCAAAAAAAAAAAAAAAGAAATGGTATTTTTCATTTATTTAAATCTTGTATCACTGTTGTAGATGATACATTTTTTAATTGAAATTATCCCTAAGTTTTATGTTATAAATGAAATATCTAGTTCGTTATTATTGGACTTAGGAGTTTTCTCTTCATCCAGTTTTCTCCTATTTTATTTACAATTTTACTATCAGAAAACTATATGTTTTGTAGCTAAAATTATCTAAAACCAAAAGATTTTAACATAGTTTTCTAGTTTTCTTAGGTAGAGTCTGTCTCCCAGGCTGGAGTGCAGTGGCATGATCTTGGCTCACTGCAACCTCCGCCTCCCAGTTCAGCTGGGATTCCAGGCATGTACCACCACGCCCAGCCAATTTTTGTATTTTCATTAGAGACAAGGTCTTGCCATGTTGGCCAGGCTGGTCTCGAACTCCCGACCTCAAGCGATTCCCCCCGCCTTGGTCTCCCAAAGTGCCAGGACCACAGGTGTGAGCCACCGCACCTGGCCTTACATAGTTTTCTACTTCTGTTGTTCATAAGCTGTATGGTTTGATCATAAAACTGGAGAAGGTTCTCTTTAGATTTCAGTTAAGGAATATTTCTTAACTGAGTAGATATCTTCAGGGCAGTGACTTACCCTGGAGCATTTAACATGTTGACTAAATTAACTGGTTTGAGACATGTTTATATTGTAATTATCATCTCTATAAAATTTAGAGCTTACATAGTTTGTCATATATCATTGTGTCATTTATCCTTAAACCCTATAAGGTAGGTATTGTTATTACTGATGAAGAATTGAGTCTCACGCACATTAAGAGACTTTTCCATGGTCATTATAAATTTAGTTCCTGAACCAATCTTTATACCCTGGTCCTTGTTCTTTAAAGCTTATGCCACTTCTCCTGTATCATGTTGCTTTGTATGTATAAAGAAATCTGAACCCCATCTCTACTAAAAATACAAAAAAATTAGCCGGGCATGGTGGCGGGCGCCTGTAGTCCCAGCTAGTCGGGAGGCTGAGGCAGGAGAATGGTGTGAACCCGGGAGGCGGAGCCTGCAGTGAACCGGGATCGCGCTACTGCCCTCCAGCCTGGGTGACAGAGCAAGACTCCGTCTCAAAAAAAAAAAAAAAAAAAAAAATCTGAATATATGTATAAAGCAATCTGAAAGTACTTAACTGGATTCTAATTGAGTTATAAAATAGAAACCTTCCTAGAATATCCCCTTTGCATATTCTTATTTTTTATATTTATATTTTTTAAGTATAAATTATTTAGCAAATCATTTTAAATGATTGTTCTTGTAGGAACCTTCAGAAGTTTAGTCTTTTTGGAGACATAAGTGTTCTACAACAGCAAGGAAGTTTGTCAAATACATACCTCAGCAAGGTGGACCCTGATGGCAAAAAAATTAAACAGTAAGTTATATGGTTAATGGAAAGGAGGTTGTACTATTAATAATATGTTTTTCCTAAGAAATTATGAGATACAAACAGAAGAGTAATGATTTTTTTCCTAAAAGGAACATAGGTCCTGGAAATGTTTTAATGGTGAAATACAGTGATCAGCATCTGCCATTCCATCTCATAAATCTTTAAGAAAAATCAAGTAACTTAGTGGATAATTATTGCTATTTAAAATTATTCCTCTACTTGCCTTTGCTATAACATAAATTGTATGTTATCCTACTTTTCTACTAAACGGGTATAAGTGGTGCTTTTCTTGGATGAGGAACATATTTCTACGTGTTTAATAGATCTTTATGTTTAATATACCTTATTCATTATATTTTAATGTGAATTTTAATGGTATTTACTGTGGGTTGAATCGAAATTACCTAATGAGGAAAAATAGATCTCAAAATTGCATGCTTTTCATTGCCTATTTTCAAAAGTCAGTGTTAAAAGATTAGAACTAAATGTTAATGGGATCACTGTGGCATGTGTTTTCCTTATAGAATTCAGCAACTGTTTGAAGAAATCCTGAGTAATAGTAGGCAACTGAAATGGCTGTCCTGTGGGTTTATGCTGGAAATAGTAACCCCAACATCACTGTCATCTCTCTCTAATGCTGTTGCCAACACCATGGAGCACCTCAGTTTACTGGACAATAATATTCCTGGTAACAGCACTCTTATTACTGCAGTTGAACTGGAGCGATTTGTGAATCTGCACTCACTTGCCTTGGATTTTTGTGACTTTACAGCTGAGATGGCAAGAGTCTTAACTGATAGCAACCATGTGCCTTTGCAACGACTGTCTCTTCTGGTTCACAATGTTTCTGTAATGCACAAGTCTCTGGACAACATGCCAAATGATGAGCATTGGAAAGCCCTGTCACGAAAGAGCACCAGCTTTCGGGTCTATATAATGGCTTTTGATATCAAGAGTGAAGATATGTTAAAGATTCTGAAACCCAGTATACCACTAGAGAGGATTCATTTTGATAGCTATATCACTTGTGTTTCAGGGGCTATTGTTGATCTTATATCCAGGCAATATGACAAGTTCCTCACTCATTTTATTTTAATGAATGATGTGATTGACACATCTGGTTTTCCAGATCTTAGTGACAACCGAAATGAAGATCCGTTGGTTTTATTAGCATGGAGGTGCACAAAGCTCTCTCTTCTGGCAATTCATGGTAGGTGATCTTGTTCATTGTAATCTGATACTGGAATTAGACCGAAAACATTTTCTGCCAGTAAAGAGATAGCACTGACCTTTATAGTATCAAGAAATCTTGTATCAAGTTGATATACAGATTCTTATGCTTTTTAAAGTTTGCAAGATATATCACTTACAAAAGGAAAATCATATTCAAACCCAAGTGTTCTGCTCCAGCTTCCCTGTTACTTTTTTGTCCATCATGTGAATGGCAGTATTTCATAAAAAATCAGTGAAATTAATTTAGCTAAGAAAGCACACATACCTGTGGTAGATATATTTCCTCTAATCACACGACCCCTTAAAACATAGTGCGGGGGAAGAGAATGTATGATTTCTTTCATGCTCACTACCTCATCTTTTAGATTCTTGGTATCAAAGTATTAATGTATATAATTTTTTTAACGATGGTTCCATTGATATGCTTCTTTCATTTTAATGTGACCTGTTCTCATTTGGATCTAGAGTTGGTATTCTGACAAATAAATTTACTTCCTTTTCGGATACTTGTAAGATAATTACAAAGTAGTCTATAAGAATGTCTTAAACTCTCTTATTAGCTATCCTACTAGCACTGTTTCATTATTTTTTTTTTAGTGTGCATTTGTATTTGGGAATGTATGCCTTGCTTTTCAAGTCTTGCTTTATGCCAGTCATCAGAGGTAGCAGAAAAGACTAGATCAATACTGAAAGTGCTAAACACAATGGGCTAAAGACATATCAGGTTATTTAAAAGTTAATTTAAGCCAGTCTTTTTAAAGCCTTTTTCTTCTTTATGCTAAAGCTCCCCGTATTCATTCCTCTTTATTCCTTCCCAGAAGTAGTTATTATTCTGAAGTTGGTGCATATCATTCACATGATTGTTTTATAATTTACGTATTTGCTACTGACAATTAACAGTTTACCTTTAAAGTGTCACTACATAACTTCGCAAAGCATTATAGGAGATGATTTTTCACAAATGAAAAATACATTTACCACGTGTGGTTAACAGATACATGCATATATGAACTAAAAATTTCATCCTTATGGTACATCTTTACCCAAAGCTATAAAATTTATTTGTATATACTTTAAATGTCTATTTTACTGAATGAAGTAGTGTCATAAAGGATTAGATCACCTGCCAATTCACCACCTATAGCGGTAACTCTTGAACACAACTTCTAGCCTTTTTTTTTCTGGGCTATACAACCATGTTTCCTTTTCCAATTTCAATATATTTCTAAAGGAAAAAGACCAAAACGGTAAGTGAGATACAAATTTGAAGCTTCTCTAGAAGCTTTGAATGAGGAAAAGACAGACTTACCAAAGAGAAAAGGAAATGCAAGGAAATTACAGTGTTGTCTTTTGTTTATTTTTCAGGTTACACGGTGTGGGCACACAACCTCATTGCCATTGCTCGTCTTCGGGGCTCTGATCTGAAAGTGCTTGAAGTCACCGAAGAAAGCATTGATTTTGACCAAGGTGAACTGGCCGACCAGGATGTAGATCCAGTGCATAACCTTATTGAGCAGGTATCCCTGGGCCTGGGTCAACCTTGGCATGCAGTCATGGACATCGAATCACTCAGTGTCTTCACTGAACCAAATCGTCATTTTTACAGAGAGATGCAAAGCTTCAGTGAAGACATTTAGCTTTTTTTTAATGTAGAATTCCTGTGGTTACATATGCAAGTAGGGTCCTATTATGTTTTTTTTTCAGTAGTGTGAATTAATCCTTTTGTGCTGTGTTTAATCAGTATTAGCTTTATAGAATTATATATGTATATTCTACTTCTTGATCAAAGAACGTAGTCGGGTATTGGTTTAGAAGTTCAAAGTGACAATGTATAGGGCTTTCACGGTTAATGGACTTGTTACCAAACCTTAAGGATATACAGCCGAAGATTGTCTGAGGTTGCTGGCTAACTTTATTTTTCACTGAGTTACTCTGCCTTTTTGACGTTTTTATTCTTTGTGTGTCAGAGTTCAGAGCTCAGGAGCCAAAATATTTTTATACATATATAGATATATATCCATAGCCTGGTAGATTTATATGCAATGCACTGCATCCATGCATTCTGATAGCATTTCATTAATTTTGATTTCAAATGGAAGATAAATAATATCCCAAATGAATTATCTGTAACAGAAAAGCCAAGACTTTAACTTTCATTACATATCTAATAGTTGATATCACCAGTTACCATTTTGAATTTTGTATAGTACTAGGTTAGAACATTGCTTAATCCTTTTAAAAAAAATGCATTTACGTAAACACGAATACTGAAATTGTTGGATTTTTTAACTATATCTGACATAATTTTATTCATCAATTACATTACACATTCATTTAGCCCAGATTTCAAATAGTGGGGGAAGAAAGAAACTGTATTTCAGAGTAAAATCTCCTAAAGGAAATAAAAACACAGAGTTGTAAATACACATGCTTGCAAAAACATTAGTCGTGAAATCCCTAGCAACAAGTCACTGGATTTTTCTCTGTCAGCACGCGTGTCAGCTGCCAAAGAATAGACTTAATGAAGAAGTGCCCACATGCTGGCAGGGGCCGGCCCACTCTGGCCAGCCAGATACTGCTAGATTGTAATATTTAAGGTCGAATTTCGACCTGTGGTACACAGCTGTGCTGTGGCTCAGTCAGCAACCTCAGAACTCTGAAAAAACAAAACAAAAAAAAAAAAAAAAGAAAAAAAAAACATGCACCTGTTTCACTGTGAATAGTGAATGTAAAGGAAAGAAAGGAAAAACTGAAAGCTTGTTCTATCACAGGTATGAGCTGCTATGATACATGAAGAACATTCCATGAAGTATGTTTTAAAACCTTGTTATATCTGAGAGGCTTTAAAAGCCTATTAACTGTTTCAGGGCAACCGCGGTACAGACGTGGTCTCTGTGAGACTTCCACCTGACCCCAGTTTTAAGTGGTACGAATGTTGTGCATTTAATGTTAAAGGACAGTCTGCAATAATAAAGTAAGTAGCCAACCTGGGTGCCCAGCAGTGCTGAGACCTGGCTGCTCTATTGTAAGCTTTGGAAACACAATTTATGCAACAGATGTCCAGATATGATTCTATTTATGGAAAAAAGTTTATATGTGTTTTACAAATGGTTTTACCATCTTATATTAAAATGACCTTTTGACAGGTGTGCACTGTTTTGTCTCCAGTGAGCACATACCATGCGGATTTTATATGTACATCAGTAGTGTGAATCCACTGGCACAGTGTGTGTAAATGCCAGATGTGGTGAGATTTTATCTTATAAATGTGATCAGATAAAATAACTCCTGACAGAAACTGTAAGGAAACCAGCTGAATGTTTGACCTGATGACTGATGTTGTATGGTTTATGTTAAATGTATATTCTTTTAATCAATGAATAAAGCATTAAAAATGATCATTGTAATATATTTTATTGTATATGAAGCATGACTACTTTTAGTGTTAAATAAACTGCAATAATCCTTATATTGTGTATAATAATGTGTTAGTATTCTGGTTGTATTCTGGTGCAGCAAAGCTTAAATTTGAGATACATTATAAAAAGTCTTAGCTGAATAGTTTGGAAGATTTTTTTACAGAAATTCACTTTGACAAAATACAAGCTTAAAAGCAAACAAACACTGGATTTCTTAGCACAAAATCTCAGTATATTATGCACCTAGAATACATTACATTATCAATATGGTAAAACTTAATTTATAGACTAGAGGGGCTGCTTTTTTAAAAGAAGATTCCTATACCAAATGCAAAAATACTTAGATATGCCAATATTAAATTCTTCATAAACCCCTATATTCCTTTATTTATTTTGGTATTCTGATCTCTGTTCTTGGTTGTTGAGACTCACAGCTCTTATTCATAGGAAACAAAAGGACTTCTTTTCTTCCTTCCATCTTCCCTTCCTTATCATTCCAGACATTGACTCTTCCAGGCACTGCTTTATCTTGGAATAATCTGGTGTTCACAAATAATTGTCCTTATACTTTTTACTTACCACTTCGTTACTTTCCTGGACACATCTGAGTCCTTTGAATGAATCAACATGTTTAAGTATATATTTAAGACGTACCCAAAATGTACGAAAAAGGAAAGTCTACTAATATGAATAGCATGCAAGTTAAGGTTATTGTAGTAAAGCTCTAAATTTGGGAGGCTTGACATCTGTTTTCTAGTCTAAGCTCTGGCTCTACTTGAGCACAGACTCCTCTTTCAGCTTTGGTTTCCTCATCTCTAAAATGAAGGATTGGTCTTGGCTAGCTAAAACTCCGATTCTTCATTGAAATTTTCCATTGCTGTTAGCTCAGTAGCTCACAGATACACAAGATCATCTTTAAACCAAGGTATTAAATATTTTCAAAACATAGCTTATTAAACTATATGAAATTTACATATCTATCTAAAATTACTTTCCATTTCCCCACCACAAAGATGCAGAAATTGAACACAAAGATGGGGAAACTTGCTTGGGACTTAGAGCATGAGTCATATTGGATCCTTATGAAGCCAGTAACATAACACAGTGCTAATGGAGTAACACAGCAGATGTGAATAATACCCAGGGACCATACCACATTGTATCAATGTTTCCCAACCTTTGTCATGTTGTAGCACACATAGAAAATATTGTACAGCATACTGGTATAAACCAGAAAGAATTAGAGAAAAAAATTACTTTTTTTAAATTATATAATTGATGAAAAAATGTAGAAGATTTGAGGAAAAATACTGAATTTGTATGGAACTTTCAAATAAAATCTTGCCAGATGTTTTAATTGATTTAATTGACATTTGATTAAAATGTTTTAATACTGTCACCAATGAGAAACACCCCACAAACAGGTAATAATTTTTAGGTCTTTTTTAAAAATAACCATTCGTTAATTTATGCAGTTGAAACTAAGAAATTTAACGCTTCCTTCTTTGGGAAATAATGTTGTGAGTTAAGTTCAAATTCAAATTGATGTTTATTACAATTATTTTAAAATCATGATGCTCTAATTTGTAATCTCCCTTACATAATCCTACTGCTAGGTGAGACACCACTGAAGAGTAAACAGCCACCAACTTTATATATATGTGAAGGCAATTAGAGGCTGCAGGGAGCCCTCCTCCCACCTCCAGCTCCCAACCCTTTCAAATCCAACTAGCCACACCTGGGGGCCTCACACTTGGGCTTCCTTCCTGCTCTTTGGACACCTGGAACGTATTTCTTTCACAGCTTTGTAGACGCCCCCCCCCCCCCCCCCCCCCACCCTTTTCTGTGATGGACAGTGACTCATCTGGCTAGGAATAGTGAGTATCTGAGTTTGCTCTCTGTCCAGGGCCTACTTTCAGAATCAGCTCCACTCCCACTGCTCAGAAGAGCCTGAAAGCATCAGAAGGCAACCAACCCAGGCTCCAGCCACCCCAGGACTCATTAGGTGTCCTTGCAGGGTATCACCCCTGGTACAGTATACTAATTAATTTGGTTTGCTGGTTGTGGAAAGAAACGGATGATGTATTATGAGTAAGTTTTCAGGATACTTGAATCATCCTTTCTGAAAGATTTTTTTAAAAGGGCAAGATATACCATGTGTTGGCAAGGAAGAGGAAACACAGGTGGAACTTGAACTGATATATCCATTTTGGAAAGCAAACTTGCAATATCTTGTAAAGTTGAAGTTGCCTGTGCCCTGTAACCCAGATTTTTCACTTTTAGATGTATTCTCTAATCCCATGTTTTCTAACTTGTTTTCCTAGCCCCTAAAAATGTACCCCTTTGCATATTTTTAAGTTAAACATGTAACATTGGTCATAATCTTAGCAGATATAAACATCAGCAGTTTAAAGTAAATTACATACATGACTTCTTAAAATATGTATAATGGAATCTAAATGCTATAGTAATTTAGTACTTACCATCTTTTTTTTTTTTTTTTTTTTTTGGACAGAGTCTCACTCTGTCACCCAGGCTGGAGTGCAGTGGTGCGATCTCAGCTCACTGCACCTTCCATCTCCTGGGCCTACCAAGTAGCTGGGACTACAGGCCTATGCCACCAAGCCCAGCTAATTTTTGTATTTTTTTTAGTAGAGTTGGGGTTTCATCATGTTGGCCAGGCTGGTCTTGAACTCCTGACCTCATGCGATCCTCCCACCTTGGCCTCCCAAAGTGCTGGCATTACACGCATGAGCTACTGCACCCAGCCTACTTACCAACTGTTTTTAAAATGCAATTCACTCACTCTTGATCACTAGAAATTTTGTCATTCATTTTCCTCCTTAAGCTTGTATATTGTCAGTTATCAGTTTATTTGCCTTTTAGCTCTGAATGAATCCTTCAATATATACTCTCTCATAATGAAAAACAAAAAACATTCACACCCTCTTCACAAGAGTGCTTACCTATGAGGCAGGCATGAGGACAAGGATCAGTGTGGATGGGCATGAAGGTAATTTTATCTGTAATGGGGCATTCATTATATTATTTTGTTATTTCCTATTTTAAAAAATAATTTGTAATTTACTGATCCAAGTTACAAACAAATGAATGTTCATGGACTGACTTGTTTCATAATGCTGAGTCTAAAGTCAACTGTTGTAGTCCATTTTGTGCTATTACAGAAGATCTGAAACTGGGTAATTTAGAAAGAATATTAATAATTGATTTCTCACAGTTCTGGAGGCTGGGAGGCCCAAGATAAAGACACCAACAGGTTTGGTGTCAGGTAAGGGCCCTATCTCCACCTCCAAGATGGCACCTTGAATGCAACATCCTCCGAAGCAACAGTGTAATCTCACATGGCAGAAAGAGAGCTAATCTACTTTTGTAAGCACTTTTTATAAGGGCAATAATACATTCATGAGGGTGAAGCCCTCATGACCTAAATAAACTTCTCCCATAAGACCCCACTTTCCAACTCTGTTGTATTGGGGACTAAACTGTGAATTTTGGAGGGGACACATTCAAACCATAGCAGTGACCAAGGCAGGAGGACAGAGTATTGCTTTCTATCCTTTCATGCATTACTGAATCACAGTAACTTGAAAGAGGCTCAAAGATCTACTGAGAGCTTAAGACCTAGTTGTTTGTAGGAAAGTTCTGAATAGATTTTTCAAAATATGTCACTGTGTGGGGGAAAAGGGGAGATACTGGTCAAAGGGTACAAACTTTCAATTATAAAATTCTGGAGATTTAATATACAGTATGGTGACTACTGTTAATAATGTATATTTGAAATTTGCTAAGAGAGTAGATCTCAGGTGTTCTCACCACACCAAAAATGGTAACTATGTGAAGTGATGGATATTTTAATTAGCTTGAGTATTGTAATCATTTCAGTATATATATATATGAAAACACATTGTGTACCTTAAATATATGCAAGTTTTGCCAATCACACCTCAGTAAAGCTGCAAAATGGCACTGTAATTGACTCTACCATATTTCAGTTTAAAGCACTATTGTCATTAGATTAATACTTATTTAATGTGGACATTATATCCAACAACCTCAGCTATTTGAAGTGTAGCCAAGGATCCAGAAATAAGTATAAAAGACTCGTGGAGCTGGATTAGTCCCTGACTAATGGGTAAAGGTGTCACACTCAGAAGAGCCATTTCCAATTCCTGCTAGCTCACTTTGTCTTATTTTCAGCATAATTCTAATAAACCTGTTCATCAGGTTTCTCAGTCTACAGTGGGTTAGAAAGGGAAAGGAAGGGGGTGACTGTGAAAGGCATGCAAGCTTACACATGTGAAAGCAAGAGCATAATCAGTCTTAGGCCATTTTGGAGTTTGAAACAGACTTCAACACCCCTATAACAAACCTGAACTACAGGGCAATGGTAAGTATTTGTAATGAACTTGAATCAATATGAAAATTACACTGTGTTCAGAATATTGGCATAAATTAATGGAGCATTTAATACATTTTGGAAATATTTCTACTGAAGATGGCTAAAATAATACTATATATTTAAAAGACTAGCCTTTAGCTAAAAAATACACACTTAAGGCCGGGCGTGGTGGCTCAGCCTATAATCCCAGCACTTTGGGAGGCCGAGGCAGGCGGATCACCTGAGGTCAGGAGTTGGAGGCCAGCCTGGCCAACATGGCAAAACCTCATCTCTACTAAAAGTACAAAAATTAGTCGGGCGTGGTGGCGGGCAACTGTAATCCCAGCTACTCAGGAGGATGAGGCAGGAGAAGCTTGAACCCAGCAGGGGGAGGTTGCAGTGAGCCGAGATCGCACCACTGCAAAAAAAAAAAAAAAATCACTTAAGTAAATTCTCTGAGAAACAATGTTGATAAATAGACTAAGAAATACCATAACTTATATGTATTAAATATTTACTGTGTGCAAAGCACTGTTTTGAGCATTTGACAAACAAGTATTTTGTCATTTAATTCTCACAGCAACCCTGGAGTAGATATCATTTCATTTCACATATAAGGAAATAGGCATAGAAAAATTAACAATTGTGTCTAAGTTGTAAAACCAGTAAGAGTTTGGGTAGAATTTAAACCCAGAAGATAGAACTCCTACATTACATGACTTTTATCCTGCTGATCCTAAAGACTACGATTACCTTACTATTAGGTAGATAATTCTATTTTTCCACTTAGTTTGTAAAATTTACAGATATTAAAGCTCCATCCATATTCTCCATGTACCAGTATTCTTGCTGTATTTCTTGAAGTGCATTAACTGCCCTTGGTATATTTATCAGTATCACCAAATCTATGGAATCACAAAGCAACAGAATAATCATCATGTAGGTGTATGAATTTATGCCTAACACATCTAACATACAAAGTGTGTGTGTGTACTATATAACCTAATCTATGCGTATAATTTTATTCTAATTTTTAATAATACATAATTGGCCAGGTGCAGTGGCTCATGCCTGTAATCTCAGCACTTTGGGAGGCTGAGGCGGGCGGATCACAAGGTCAAGAGATCGAGACCATCCTGGTCAACATGGTGAAACCCCCATCTCTACTAAAAATAGAAAAATTAGCTGGGCATGGTGGCACAAGCCTGTAGCCCCAGCTACTCGGGAGGCTGAGGCAGGAGAATCGGTTGAACCCGGGAGGCAGAGGTTGCAGTGAGCCAAGATCGTGGCACTGCCACCAGCCTGGCGACAGAGCGAGACTCCGTCTCAAAAAAAAAAAAAAAAAGAATACATAGTTGGTATGTGATGAGCCAATTGTTAGACAAGATAGCTCTAAAATTAGAATAGGCACTGCACTATAGTTGTAATTATTTCTGAAAGCTTAAGAACTACTCAACTGAGATGACATTATTAAAGATTTTCAAGTGGTTTTAGTTTTAGTTTTTTATTTTTTTTTGAGACAGTCTCACTCTGTCGCCAGGCTAGACTACAGTGGCACGATCTCAGCTCACTGCAACCTCCACCTCCCGGGTTCAAGTGATTCTCGTTCCTCAGCCTCCAGAGTAGCTGGGATTACAGGCACGCGCCACCACACCCAGCTAATTTTTTTATTTTTAGTACAGACGGGCTTTCAACATGTTGGCCAGGATGGTATCAATCTCCTAACCTCTTGATCCGCCCACCTTGGCCTCCCAAAATGCTGGGGTTACAGGCGTGAACCACCACACCTGGCCTGAAGTGGTCTTACACATAATTGTGGTCAATATATAATTGTGGTCCTTTATAAATATTATCTTGGCTATATTTGTGGACCCAACAAATAGAAGACATTTTTTAAAGGCTAATTAATTTTATAATTTGTTAATACCTGAGCTGACTGAATTGATCATGTTTTCCACTAAATTAATAAAATCAACAGACTATTTTCGCATCGTATCATCCACAGGTTATAAAGTTGACAGATCAAACTTTTTCAGATCTACATAGTTACCTGATTTTTTCTCCAAAATAAATTCTCTTTTGACATAGTAGATTCTTTGATAATATATAACAGTTATACTATAATCTTACTAAAACATATAAGTTAGACTTTAAGATTTTTTTGCATGGATTTAAAGACAAAAGTAAAACAGACACTCTGAGGATACTATTTGGACCTTACTTAGATACTGATTCAAACAAACAAACAAAAAAAAATTTTTAAAGACAATTGCAAAAATATGAATGGATCTTTATGTTATTAAGTTACTGGATGTTAGGTGACATTTGATGATGGTAGGAAATTATTGGGATTTTAAAGGGTGGACACTGGTATTGTAGTTATGTTTGTTGTTTGCTTAAGGGTCCTTATCTTATAGAAATATACTCTGGATTCCAGCCCAGGCACATTACTAGTTCTGTCTGTGGCAGGAATTTTAACAGCTGTCCTGCCTAATCACTGGATATAAAGCCACCACAAATAGGTATGAAAACTTTTTAAAAGCTAATGCATAATGCATTGTACAAATTCAACATGTGACTAAATATCATGTACTCTGTTAGAATATATGTGAAATTAAAGCATCAAAACTAGCTTTGGAGTTGAAACATACAGGAAGAAATCATTTTAATTTATATATTTCCAAGCTCTGCTGCACCTGAATATTTTGAAACACACAGGTCACATTTAGCCTCATGGGATAAATGTTAACATTGTCACTAGAATTTTCCAACATTGTCACTAGAATTTTTCTGGCTTACTAGAGCATTCCAGACAGAATTTTAAATATTTTCAAATATTAAAATATTTTAAATCTTCTGAAATGCTGTTTTAAATAGTTGGAACTGAAGGTAATCTAGGAAGGGTGTTCTAGCACAAGAAAAATCCATTCCCAGTAAATCCTCACCTTTGAAGGAAGATAAATAGCATTTCATGCAAGGTTTCCTAAGTCACACTCAAATCCAGAAAAGTAACCTGAGAGGATTATCTTTGTAAGTAGCCAAATTATGCTGCCTGTTTGTAAGACATACCTATAGCACAGCCTACTGAGAAACAGATTAATGCAAAGGTCTCCTAAAACTAAGCGGCAGCATCAGTCAAGTAAGCTAAGTGACAGGAAAAAAAGTAAAACATAGTCCGAGACAGACTGACACTCATTCCCTTTGATAAAATTTCTCTTACTAGAATAATGCCAGAAACATTAATCAAATCTAAGCAGGAAGGTTCTCACTCACTCTGAGGTTAATCCCCTTAATTAAAAATATATTTCTCTATTTTGTCATAAAACTTTTAGACCCATGGAGGAGGAAACCATGCCAGAGGATGTTTGGCTTGGAAGAAGCACTGCAAGGCTTAAATTTATCAGAAAGGGATGGCATGGTTTTCAGGCATTTCGGGGACACTTTTTTTTTTTTTTTTTTACCTTCCCAGATGTATCACAAAGGTTTCTAAATTGAAAGTGTTAAGCAGCTTCCATACGTACTTGATGTAAACTGTGAGAATTTTCACAACTCTACATTCACTCCCCACATAATTTCATCCACTGGCATGGTTACCTGTAAGCTGATGACTCCCAGATTAGTTTCCCCAGCCCTAAAGTGCCCTCCTCCATAAGCTCCAGACTCACAGTTTACTTCCTTCTTAGTATCTCCACTTGGATGACTAAATGGGCCTCTCCAACTTAATCTCTATTCTGTATTCTTCAAAAGAATTCTCTATTCTTGATTTTCACCCCCTCCAGAACTTTTCTCCCCAGTTTTTCCCATTTCCATAAATGGCATTATTGTTCATCCAATTGCTCAAATCAAAAACCAAGAGTCACTCTTGATTCCTTTTTTCTCTCACTCTCTACATCTAATCCACCAGCAACCCCTTGGCTATAACTTTAAAATATATCCTAAGGTCATCCACTTCTCTTCCTTCTCCATCTCTCCTTGCCACCACTGTCTCTCAGCTGTACTATTTCAATAGTCTTTCAGTTTATTTCTTTACTTTCCATCTTTCTCCCCTTCAGTCCATTCTCCACACACAAATAAAAGTGCTTTTCATTTTATATGTTGTTAGGTCATATAAAAATATTCCACTGGCATCTTGTTGTTCTTAGAATAAAATACTAACTTCCTAACATGGCCTTCAAGATAGGCATAACCTATCTCTCACACAGATACTGGGGAAAAAAAAAAAAAAGATAGGCATGACCTGCCCTGTCTACTTCTTGACCTGATCTCTCAGGCTCTCCTGTGCTCACTCTACTCCATATCACACTGGCCATGTTTCTTTTCCTGAAAATGAAAGCCCATTTCTTTCCGCACAGATGTACAGGCCAGCAGCAGCAACCTGCTCGGGTCCCCTTCCACACTGTGGAAGCTTTGTTCGTTCGCTCTTCACAATAAATCTTGCTGCTGCTCACTCTTTGGGCCCGTGCCACCTTTATGAGCTGTAACACTCACCAGGAAGGTCTGCAGCTTCACTCTTGAAGTAAGTGAGACCACGAACCCACCGGGAGGGACGAACAACTCCAGATGGAAGGAATGAACAACTCCAGACCCGCCGCCTTTAAGAGCTGTAACACTCACTGCGAAGGTCTGCAGCTTCACTCCTGAAGCCAGCGAGACCAGGAACCCACCAGAAGGAAGAAGCTTTGGACACGTCCGAACATCAGAAGGAACAAACTCCGGACACGCCATCTTTAAGAATTGTAACACTCACCACGAGGGTCTGCGGCTTCATTCTTGAAGTCAGCAAGACCAAGAACCCACCAATTCCAGACACACTAGCACACAGAAGACTCTCAAATATATTTCTCAAATGAATGGCATATTAACATTTGGGTTAGCATTAATATCACAATATCACTACATCTCTGGAAAACATTTTTCAGAGGGAAATCAGGTAAGGACATAAAATTTAGACTTAAAGGGATATGGAAAGACATGAAAAAACAGGTTTAAACTATAAAGTTTGAAATTACAGTAACAATGCAGCAAAATAAAACTGCCTCTTTGAAAAGAAAAACATGAAGGAAAAAATGTAAGATTGTTTGGATAGCTGTCAATAAATACTCTACATGGGTATGCCTTACTTTATCAACAGCTTTGTATATTGACCAAAGTTAAATTCTAATTTCTGATGAAAACAATTGTTTTTCCATAAGGCAATAAATGATTAGCAGATGGGGGAACTCGGCATTATGGTACAGCCCTACCTTGGAGATATTGCAGGTTCAGTTCCAGACCACTACAATAAAGAGAATAATGCAATATAGCAAGTCACACAAACTTTTTGGTTTCACAATGCACATAAAAGTTATGTTTATACTGAAATGTATTAGGTGTACAATAGCATTATGTCTAAAAAATGTACAGACCTTAACTTTTAAAATATTGCTAAAAAATGCTAATAATAATCTGAGCCTTCAGCGAGTCATAATCTTTTTCCTGGTGGAGGATATCACCTCCATGTTGATAGCTGCTGACTGATGGCAGTGGTGGTTGATGAAGGCTGGGTGGCTCTGGCAATTTCTTAAATGAGACAACAGTGAAATCTGCCGCATCCATTCCTTCTTTTTGTGGACATTTTCTCTGTAGTATGCCATGATGTTTTATAGCTTTTTCCCCACAGAACTTCTTTCAAAATTGGACTCAATCCTCTCGAACTCTGCGGCAGCTTTATCTACTAAGTGTATGGAATATCTGAAGTATTGTGTTATTTCAACAATGTTCACAGCATCTTCACCAGGAGTAAATTCCATCTCAAAAACACACTTTTTTTACTGATCCATAGAAGCAATTCCTCATTTGTTCAAGTTTTATCATGAGATTGCAGCAGCACTTTAGTCACATTGTCAGGCTCCACTTCTGATTCTAGTTCTCTTGCTACTTCCACCACATATGCGGTGACCTCTTCCCCTGATGTCTTAGACCCCTCAAAATCATTCCATGGATTCCATGGAATGGACTCCTTAAACATGGAATCCACTCCTTACAAAGTCCAGTTAATGTTGATACTTTAATCTCCTCCCATGAATCACAAATACTCTGAATGGCATCTAGAAGGGTGAATCCTTTTGAGGTTTTCACTTTACTTTTCCCAAATCCATCAGATGAAATACTATCTATGGTAGCTATAGTCTTATAAAATGTATTCCTTAAACAATAAGGCTTGAAAGTCGGCTTCCGTTGAGCACCAAGCAAGATGGCAGCCTCCGAGACAGTTAGGCCAAGGCTTCAATTTGATTACCCGCCGCCAGCTACCCGGCACTGTAGGGCCTTCTGGCTTCTGTTCCACTTGAACAGATACGAGTCGTCACAGATCTCGTTAGTCTCATCCGCCAATGCTTCGGCTTCATTTCTGGGGCCCTCCTAGGCCCCTACCTGAAGCCGGGGCTCCTGCCCCGGGCGGAGAGCGTGCGCCTGGTGAGAGAGAACGACCGCCTCAGAGTTAAAGTAGAAGAGAGACGAGTTGCTGAGAATTCTATGGTCATCAGTAATGGTGACACTAATCTATCACTTAGAAAAGCAAAGAAGCGGGCATTTCAGTTAGAGGAGGATGAAGAAACTGAACCAGATTACAAATATTCAAAGAAGCATTGGAAGAGGCAAGAAAACAATAACAATAATGAGAAGGTCTTTGATCTGGAACCAAAAGCTGTCACAGATCAGACTGCCAGCCAAAAAAAAAGAAAAAAAAGAAAAAAGAAAGCCCACTGTGGCACAGCAGGTGATGATAACAAAGAGACCAAAAGAAAATCACCAAAGAAAAAGGAGAAATGTGAATATAAAAAAAAAGGCCAAGAATCCCAAGTCTCCTGAAGTACAGGCAGTAAAAGACTGGGCCAATCAGAGATGTAGTTCTCCAAAAGGTTCTGCTAGAAACAGCCTTGTTAAAGCCAAAAGGAAACGTAGTGTAAGCGTTTGCTCAAAAGAGAGTCCCAGTTCCTCCTCGGAGTCTGAGTCTTGTGATGAAGCTATCAGTGATGGTCCCAGCACAGTCACTTTGGAGGCCAGAAATTCCTCAGAGAAATTACCGACTGAGTTATCAAAGGAAGGACCCTCTACCAAAAATACAACTGCAGACAAACTGGGTATAAAATCTGGCTTTAGCCTTACCCCCAGCAAGGGCAAGACCTCTGGAACAACATCTTCCTATTTCAGACTCTAGTTCAGAGTCAGATGACCAATGCTTGATGTCATCAAGCACCCTGGAGTGTGCTGCGGGTTTCTTAAAGACAGTAGGCCTTTTTGCAAGAAGAGGTTGTCCGGGCCCAGAGTTGTCATGACAGACTGTAGGTGCTGCTGGATGGAGGCGTTCTTGCTCAAATGGTGGCGGACAGGCTCCTGGTCCTCCTCTCAGTGTGTCTCTCCCCACCAGTTTAGGAAGAAGATGGGGTAGAGGAGATAACCTTTTTTCTTGAAAGGGAGCTAGGGGACGGGGCATGCGGGGGAGAGGTCGAGGACAAGGGCATCCTGTTTCCTGTGTTGTAAATAGAAGCACTGAGAACCAGAGGCAACAGCAATTAAATGACCTGGTAACAAATTCATCTACTATTATCCAGAATCCGGTAGAGACACGTAAGAAGGACTATAGTCTGTTACCACTGTTAGCAGCTGCCCCTCAAGTTGAAGAAAAGATTGCATTTAAGCTTTTAGAACTAACATCCAGAAGAATATTAAGCCCCAATCCAGAGACCCAGCAAGTAGATATAGAAATTGTTTCATCCTTACCCGCCTTGAGAGAACCTGGGAAATTTGATTTGGTTTATCACAATGAAAATGGAACAGAGATAGTGGACTACGCTGTGACACAGGAGAGCAAGATCACTGTATTTTGGAGAGAGTTGATTGACCCAAGACTGATGATTGAATCTCCAAGTAACACATCAAGTACAGAACCTGCCTGAGTATGACCTCTCCACCTTATAGTTTATGAATGTCTTGTTTGTGCAAGTGAGTATAACCTGAACTTTTTTTTTTAAAGAGGATTTGGAAGTTGTGTGGATTTTTTTGTTATCTTCACTTTACTGCATAGGAAACAACCTACCTCATCATTTAAAATGACATGGGTGTTGGTTTTGTAGATCTTTGGGTTTGTCAGGTTTAATTTCAGTTAACAAAATGTACAACATGACATTCCCTGCAGACATTGTTGTATACCAGTATGGTTTCTTCTTTTTTTAGATGTTTTGGCCATCAAGTAGCAGTCGTCAGTAGGAGTTTATAATACCAAGAATGTGCTGCTATCTTGTCTTAATAAGTTTTAAGTAACATTTAGAAATATTAAAGCATGTTACTTGACCTAATTTTTTAGCATTTGAGTTGTTCCATTAAATGGAGCATCTCATAAATTTCAAGTATTTTATACTTGCAATTGTTAAGAGTTAAAAGGTAGTTGGATTTGTCACAGACAATGAGTTAAGGAATCCTTTCACGTTTTTCCCAACTTTAAAATTAAGGATTCTCAGGGCGCTGTGTAGAGCAGTGAAAATAAGATGTGTGTGTGTGTGTGAGTGTGCGCGTGCACATGTATGTATGTCTGGAGAATTGGTGTTCCACTTAGGTGAGAGGACTGGCTGTGAGCTTCAGACCAGGAAATGTGTCATCTTGCCAGGCACCTGGCTGAGTGTGCCGGAGTGAGGATCTTGAACAGAAACTTCATTTTCTGTTATTATTCACTACAAAGCTAAAATGGCCAAATATATACTGTGAAAATTGGTTTCATCTAACAAAAGATCAGACCCCTCCTTCAGCTGTACACGTTTAAATAAAACCACATTGAACTTAAAAAAAAATTAAAAAAATAAGACTTGAAAGTCGAAATTACCCTTTGATCCATGGGCTGCAGAATGGGTGTTGTGTTCACAGGCATGAAAACATGAATTTCCTTGCACATCTCCATCAGAGCTCCTTAATAACCAGGTGCATTGTCAATGAGAAGTAATTTTAAAAGGAGCCTTTTTCTGAGCAGTAGGTCGTGGGCTTAAAATATTGAGTAAACCATGCTGTATACAGACGTGCTGACATCCACACTTTGTTGTTCCATTTATGGAGCACAGGCAGAGCAGATTTAACATAATTCTTAAGGACCCTAGGATTTTTGGAATTGCAAATGGCTTCAGCTTAAAGTGACCAGTTGCATTAACCTCTAACAAGAGAGTCAGTCTGCCCTTTGAAGCTTTGAAGTCAGGCATTGACTTCTCTCTAGCTATCAAAGTCCTAGATGGCTTCTTCTTGCAACAGAAGGCTGTTTTTGTCTACACTGAAAATCTGCTGTTTAGTGTAGCCACCTTCATCAATGAGCTTAGCTAGACGTTCTGGATAACTTGCTGCAGCTTCTACATCAGCACCTGCTGATTCATCTTGCATTTTTAGGGAGATGACTTCTTTATCTAAACCTCATGAACCAACCTCTGCTAGCATCAAACTTTTCTCCTGCAGCTTCCTCACCTCTCTCATCCTTCATAGACTTGAAGAGAGTGAGGGCTTTGCTCTGGATTAGATGTTGGCTTAAGAGAATGCTGTGGCTGGTTTCATCTTCTATCCAGACCACTAAAATTTTCTCCATATCAACAATAAGGCCATTTCACTTTCTTATCATTCATGTGTTCAATGAAGTAGCACCTATACTTTCCTTCAAGAACTTCTCCTTTGCATTCACAACTTGGCTGTTTGGCACAAGAGGCCTAGTTTCAACATGCCTTCCTCATGAAACAATCATTTCTAGCTTTTGATTTGAAGTGAGAGACATAGGACTTTTCCTATCACCTGAACACGTAGAGGTCACTGTAGGGTTAGTCATAGGCCTAATTTTAATGATTGTATCTTAGGAAGTAGGGAGGCTCAAGGAGAGGGAGAGAGATGGGGAAAGTAGTCAGAACACATACATCTGTCAATTCAGTTAGCTATTTTCTATAGATGTGGTTTGTGGTACACCAAAATAACAATAGTAGCATCAAAGATGACTGATCATAGATAACCATAACAGATACAATAATAATGCAAAGTCTAAAATATTATGAGAGTTACCAAAGTGTCACACAGAGACACAAAGCAAGAACAAACTGTTGGGAAAATGGTGCTGATAGACTTGCTCAACAGAGTTGCCACAAACCTTCAATGTGTTAAAACAAACAAACAAGAAACCACAGTATCTGTGAGGCACAATGAAGTGTAATAAAATGAAGTAGGTCTGTATTATATTTCTGGTCATGATTTACAGGTAATAGTCATATCATCTGTTTCTTTATAATTTCCACCATTGTTTGGGAATTGTATCAGGACCCACAGAAGGCCTACTGTAAAAAACAAAAGTTATATCTCTTACCAAAAAAAAAAAAAAAAAAAAAAACTGTGGCCATAGCAGATATATGTCTAAAAGCTGTTCAATTAGTAAAGAGTGTCCAATTCTTATCTTGTTATTGTACCTAATTATAAATAATAAATAGTATTTCAAATAATAAACTAGAACACATTTTTGTTACTAGACATCTCTTATGAGTGTGAAAGGAAAATAAAAAGTCTGGACTCCAATTCACTATCCTAAAGGAAAAACTGAAGCTGAAAGCAGAGTCATACAAGCAACTGCTTTTCCTTTTGTTCCTAAGCAGTAGCTACAGATAAAGGTCAAATATCTCCACTCTATGTTCACCTTATCTTGTGTACAGCGCAGAATTACTGAGCACGAGACAAATGCATAATTGACTATTCCCCTACCTGCTCCTTTTTTCTTGTAACATGTGGATTCAGTAACGTGACCATACTCTCCCAATTTCCCCTCCAGCCTGCTTTTCCCCTTTAAATACTGAAGCCCTCAAAATCATCTTTGCAGAAAGGTACAAAGCTGTCTCCTGGGCATGTCCTCAACCTTGGCAAAACAAACTTCTGCATTGGTTGAGACTTGTCTCAGGAACTTTTTGGTTTACAAATTTGTGACCAGGAAGGGGCTCAGTGGAGGTCCCCCTGACCTTTAACAAATTTCCTATCGATGCTTGGTACCAGCTTGGGCTGTCTTTATTGCTCAAATAGGATGATTTGCTGAGGCCTGTGAGCTCTCCCTTCCAGAGAATCCCTGATCTCCCAAAATTTGATTGAGATCTAAGGTTTATTTTGCTGTACAACTCCTTTTCTGGAGTTTTACTCGCTTCCAACAAGAAAGGTGAGTTTTCCTGCTTCCCTGACGATGGAGAGCAGGCAGTATCTTTCTGGAGTTTCAGCTTGCTTCCAATAGGGAAGGCAAGTTTGAGTTTTTTTCCTGCTTCTAGGACACTAGAGAACAGTCTTTAGCCTGGACCCCATTCCTAGTTAGCTGAACTAGGGTTTGTCTTAGAAATTCTCCTTAATAACTAAAGGTTAAGATTAACAACCAGCTAGTCTTAATTTCTCCTTACCATTAAGAGCTCAGTAGTCATATAAATTGTGCAAGCATCATTTGTGTTGTTTAATTGTTCTTGTTGTTGTTGTTGATTTGTTTCTGGTTTTTTTGTTTTTGTTTTTTCAGTCTTTTTCCCATTGGGTTTGACCAACTCTACCTGACTTGATCAAATGCAAAGGAACATTCCAAATTAGGAGGAGTAAGGCCTCTGAATTGGTTAGATTCCCACAGCTGGGGAAAAAAAAGAAAAAGAAAAAAAAAAACAGCCAGCAAAAGAAAAAAGATTGACTACACAGGGACTTTATTTATGTAACAAGGCCACCTTTTGCTAGCCAAGCGAAACCGAAAGAGCTTCGGCCATCGCCCCACAGTGTGGTTCATTCTTTTGCCCTTTTTTCACCATGACAGCTGGGATTGGTCCTTAAATCAAGTCCTTTCTGGCTTTATATTTTCATATTTATGTTACTTTTTAAATATAAGCAATTTGTCCCAGCTAAAATATGGTAATGAGATATAAAAGGATGTTTTAAACAGTTTGATGGTTGAAAGTCACCTTAAAAGCTGCTATCAAGATGTGTGTGTGTGTATTTAAAAGGCCTTTATGCTTTCTTTCTCTCCTAGAATCTTTTTTGAGAAAAAGGTTTTATTTCTTCTCAGTAGACTGAATTCTGTCTTCTCCATTTACTTCTGCCTATCTTTCCTTCCTCTTACCACCTTCTGCTGCATGAAGGACCTAAAACAATTTCTAACAGCCTAGGATTCCTTAATGAAAACAAAGAAGATGCCAGACTCCTTTTTAGGGAGAAGCTCTGTTTTTCCTTATGATACCCCAAGAGTGTAAACAGACAAGTTTCTCAGATTTTTAAACTGCCTGCTTTTGTATTGTTACCTTTGTTTTTTTTTTTTTTGTTTTTTTTACTAAAATAGTTATTACCACAGGGGCTGCTCTTGGGTGTTTAAGAAAGGACATAGTTTAGAGACTTACAGAAAAGTCTTTGTAACAAAATGCACTGTAAAAGCACTACATGGCCTAGTCTCTTCGGAATAGGCCCATGATATCTTTCTCTTTGGAGAACCAGGGTTTCAGTGTGGGCTCTGCCCAGAGCTCAGAAATCTAGATAGAGACTAAATTTAAAACTAGCAATCTAAATAAAATTGGTCTCTTTATATAATCCTATGGTAGATTTCTATAATTTTATGTTTGACTTGGCATCGATTTTTTTTTTTTTTTTTTTTTTTGAGTCTGAGTCTCGCTCTGTCGCCAGGCTGGAGTGCAGTGGTGCGATCTCAGCTCACTGCAACCTCCGCCTCCCGGGTTCAAGCAATTCTCCTGCCTCAGCCTCCCTAGTAGCTGGGACTACAGAGGCATGCCACCATGCCCAGCTAATTTTTGTCTTTTTAGTAGAGATAGGGTTTCACCATGTTGGCCAGGATGCTCTCTATCTCTTGACCTCGTGATCTGCCCTCCTTGGCCTCCCAAAGTGCTGGGATTACAGGTGTGAGCCACAGCACTCCAGCATCAATTTTTAATTGCCTTCTAGCCCACCGACTTTCTCTCTATATTTTGAGATGTCAATTTCACTATCTGGTTTTCATCTGAGTTGTTCCTTTAATATACAAAATTTTTTGTTTGACCCAAAAGTTTAACTTTTATTGTGTCTCTCTGTTTTCAGCTTTCTCTCCCCTTGGAGAAGACCTGAGATAATAAGTTGCTCCAGCTCCTCTTTTTTCCTCAGGTTTTAATTGCTGTTGTGACCTGATGCTAAAAATGTTTTATCTTAAAGGTCTGAAGGAAATGTTTTCTTTCAATATAACATTCTATGCTCTTGGCTTAATATATCTAAATTATTTTATGAAACCGAAAGCCTTCACTTACAACTCAGGACATATTCCTTCTATTTAAGTATCCTTCTCATTAGTTTTGACTTGTGGGTTGTCTAAATGTACTCCCCACATTGAAAAGCAATCACACTGCAGGAGGTGGTGGGGTTTTTGTTGTTGTTGTTTTTTGTTTGCCTTAGGAAAACTGAGATAAAAACATTTTTTAATTTAAGGTAATTTAAGGTTTTTGGGTTTTTTTTGAGACATAGTCTTGCTCTGTTGCCCAGGCTAGAATGCAGTGGTGTGACTTGGCTTACTTCAACCTCTGCCTCCCAGGATCAAGCAATTCTCCTGCCTCAGCCTCCTGATAACTGGGATTACAGGTGCGCACCACCATGCTTGGCTAATTTTTGTATTTTTAGTAGGGGTGGGGTTTTGCCATGTTGGCCAGACTGGTCTCGAACTCCTGACCTCAGGTGATCCACCCGCCTCAGCCTCCCAAAGTGCTGGGATTACAGGCATGAACCACCACCCCCAGCCTAGCTTGCAAGTTATCTAAATGTACTCCCCATATTGAAAAGCAATCACACTGCAGAAGGTGGTGCGTTGTTTGTTTTGTACGACGGGAGAGGGGAGTTTGCCTTAGGAAAACTGAGATTAAAACATTTTTAAATTTAAGGTGATTTAAGGTTTTAAATTAAGGTTATTACATCATGAACTGCATTCATGAGGCACAGGGCCAGAAATTAAAACTATTCAACCACTCTAGGCCCAGGGACTATCCTGAAAGAGGTGGGTGCATAAGATGGTAAGGGCTGATTTTGAGAGAGAAAATTAGTTCAAAGTTTCTCTATAAATTAAACATTAGTACCAAAGGTACACTAATGCAAGACCAGCATCTGGGCCCCATGTCAGATTAACAAGGTTTTCTTGGAGCATTAACCCACTTTTTAACCAAAAAAAAAAATTATAAAAGACTATAAAAAGGTTTATGGAAATTCCATCTTATGGTCGAGATGATTAAAATTTAATAGGTTTATAAGATTTGAGAGACAGGTTTAATTGGCCTTATGCTGTCTTTATTTTGGCGTATTGTTTGAGGAATTAAGTCTCCCCTCTCAAAGAATAAAGATTTTTGCCTTTTAAACAAAATCTTATCACTTTGGCTAAATGAATGACTTATTTTACAATGACCTGTGATCCTATTTTGCAATATCAAGTATTTTAAACTCTTTATATTTGACAAACTTTCCAAAATCAAATTCTAAATTCGGTCTTCATTAATTTTTTTGGTATTAAGCACCCTTAAGTCCAAGAGACACATTTGGCTTGTTTGGTATAATAAATTCATACAGGAAGTATTGTCAAATATGAAATTTTGTTTAGCCTTCTTTGGACTGCATTTATATAAATGTGTTATTAGTATATGTGCCAAAATCATAAGAGATTCCTGTGATTCTGATGTTTTAGTGTATGTTATCAGTAGTAATTATGATTATGTAAAACTATTGTATGCCAAAGAAGTAACTAAATTTCCTTGTCAGTTGTGTCTTTAACCATGGCTGTTCTAAGACTTTTGTCATCCACAATTGTTGTTTTACTTTGATCCTTTTATAAGGCAGTTTATAATCAGCTATAGAACTCTAAGGAGTACTCTTAGATATAGATTTATGGATAAATTTAGAGATGGTGCCATTGGAATAAAGAGGAAAACTTCCAGCACTCTCATGAAGAGCTGATGTATTCATGAGGTTTGCTGATCCAATATTGAGCACAGTAGGAGTTAACTGCATGGGATGAACTAGTAGCAGACTGGAAATAATCTTTTATGACTTTTTGTTTAACACATTTGCTGATTCTTTTTGTTTTTCAAAGTCAAGAAAACTTTTTCTTCTTTTAGGCTATTTGCAGCTTTTAACAATTCAGTAACATATACTCTTATGAGAAAAATTTAAAACATAATTCCTTTCACTCAACCTGATCTTGACAAAATTTGGTAACTAATTTGTGAGAATTCTTAATTTATGAAAATACAGTTATTTGCATAACTTCAATAAGAATGTATTTTCTTTTATACAAGTGCATAACTGGAGCCCCTTGGAAAAACTGGCCTCATACCTTGTTCTTTACAGGGTCCTGATCTGTGGTAAGTAAAGAATGTCACTTGGTGACAGGCCCAGGAACCCCAAGTTTTCTTGGGACCTCAAAAAGAGAAGAATTCACCCAATTCACACAGGTATTTGAAGGCACAGATAAATCCTCGGCTGGGCTCAAGGCTTTTAAGAAAGTCTAAATCTTAGATTCCTTATAAAAAAAAGTTTCCAGCAAAGCCAATTTAAAAAAAAAAAGGGAGAGAGCCTGTATAACAAATGATTATTCTTGCTGTACTTTATGCAAATAATCAAGCCAAGTGTAATAGGTCTAAAATGTATTTTACAAGTAAGTTGGTCCTTCTATGATTTTAAGTAAAATTGGGTTATTGGAGAGAGAAAAATCCTGTTCAAATTAAATTATAGTATACCTGTTATTAGACTCCAGCCTTGCCTAATGTTTTCATTTTTATTATTTTCTACAATTTGGACTGAATTCTAAAATTTTTGCTGGCTATGACTCTCCAAAATAATGTTTTCAATTTCTTTTCCTTATTTCTTTTCCTTCTTTTTTTCCATTTTTCCTGATTTGAAATCACTAAAAATTAAGCTTTGCTTTTCTTAAAGCCCTGTGAACTGAAGCTAGACAACTTAAACTTCAGAAGAAAACAATAGCAACCTATTTATATACATAAACCATTTTCATACCTGCCTACTGATGAATGGACTTCAGAGTAATATGGCCTTTGTCAGTTTTCCAGGATTGTTCTTTTTTTTTTTTTTCTTCCTCCCCCTATGTTCTCTTTGTAGGACATGAGACTTCACAACCTGCCAAAAAATTAGCTTCCTAACAACATGAGACCTATTCGTCTAGGAATAAACTGTCCTAGCCACAAAAGATCAGACAAAACCCAAGACCAGAGAGTCATTTTCTTCTAAAATGCTTTATCTGAAAGATTTTAAAAAGAAAAGTGGGGAGAAATGTGAAAGGAAAATAGAAACTCGGGACTCCAATTCACTAGGCCAAATGGAAAAATTTAAGCTGAAAGCTGAGTCATGCAAGCAACTGCCTTTCCTTTAGTTCCTAAGCAGATAGCTACAGATAAAGGTCAAATATCTCCACTCTATCACCTTATCTTGTGTACAGCACAGATTTACTGAGCATAAGACGAATACATAATTCACTATTCCCCTATGTGGTTTTATCTTGCAACCTGTGGATTCAGTAATGTGACCCTACACTTCCTATTTCCCCTCCAGCCTGCTTTGCCCCTTTAAATATTGAAGCCCTCAAAATCATCTGTGGAGAAAGGCACAGATCTGTCTCCTGGGTGTGTCTTCAATCGTGGCACAATAAACTTCTAAACTGATTGAGATTTGTCTCACATACTTTTTGTTTTACATGAGATTGAAAAAACAAACTCTCTTCCTAAATACTTAGTTCACCTTTAGCTTGAAATAGTACATTCTCTTATGTTTCAGTTAATAAAGATTTAAAATTGGCCATGTTTTCTGTTTTCATAAATTTGTTATATTAAACCTACTGATATTAAACATAATTTTTAAATGATAGAGCTATCTTTAAAAACATTTATATATTAAAATATTAGTTTCAAACATTTAACTTTTAAAAACACTAAATCAACCCACAGCATGACACAATAATTTATCATGTTAAACTCATTTAATTTCAATATTGAAAAATCGTTTAGAAATCAACTTGTCTAATTCCCTCACTTTATAGATAAAGAAATGTAAAACCATTTGGCTGGGCGCAGTGGCTCACTCCTGTAATCCCAGCACTTTGGGAGGTCAAGGCAGGCAGATCACTTGAGGCCAGGAGTTTGAGACCAGCCTGGACAACATGGCAAAACCCCATCTCTACTAAAAATACAAAAATTAGCTGGGCATGGTGGCAGGCACCTGTAATCCCAGCTACTCAGGAGGCTGAGGCAGGAGAATCACTTGAGCCCAGGAGGTGGAGGTTGCAGTGAGCTGAGGTTGTGCCACTGCACTCCAGCCTGGGCAACAGAGCCAGGCCCTGTCTAAAAATAAAAATAAAAAAATCAATTTTTCACTGTTTGCTTTAGGTTACCAAAAAAAGATAACTATATAACTAAAATAACAATATCCTGCTTTAAAAAGCTCATGAAACTATAGTTTTTCTCTAAACAAGATTCATAATTTCAAGAGCTTATGAAAGATTAACTTCAGTTACATGATTTTGTTCAGTGAAGCAATAACAAAATATTAATTTTCAGGTTGTTTCCTTGAACTTCTCATCCCTCAACTGGATCCACAATTTTGTTTTGTTTTGTTTTTAAAGACAGACTCTTGCTCTGTCACACAAGCTGGAGTGTAGTGGCCTGATCTCCACTCACTGCAACTTCTGTCTCCCGGGTTCAAGCAATTCTCTTGCCTTGGCCTCCTGAGTAGCTGGGATTACAGACATGCGCCACGATGTCTGACTAATTTTTTGCATTTTTAGTAGATACAGGGTTTCGCCATGTTGGCCAGGCTGGTCTCGAACTTCTGAGCTCAGGCAATCCGTCTGCCTCGTCCTCCCAAAGTGCTGGGATTACAGGTGTGAGCCACCATGCCTGGCCTGGATCCACAACTTTTAATGCTCTCATTTTACAACGTTTCTAAAAGCTTTACCATTTCAGGCTGAATTTAACATGGCAAAAACTCTATCCAAGGTAAATAATGAATAAAGTATGAACTAATGATAACATTCTCAGTAATACCATTAAAAATACTAGAAATGCAACTTTAATCAACAGAGCCAATTATTCATCTGCCTAGCCAATTCCTTAGAATTGAAGGAATAGCTTTGTCCATAAATGAAAAACAATCTAGAAAACAGAAGGCTCTTAAGTTTTAATTGGGAGCACATGCTTCTCCCTTACTAACAAGCAGCAGGAAGAATATTTATTTCCTGATTACACATTTCCTTTACCTCATACCAATCCAAGTCTAATCCCTGGTTTTCTTTGCCATGTCCAAACCTCCATGATTCAGAAGTGAGAAATGAAGCACACTCTGAAAGTTTTAAAGCACATCATCATGAGCCAGTTTTAGTTATAAAACCCAATTTAAAAGAGTTGCTTCCTAAGGTTTTACCTAAAATGAGAATTCAAATACCTGCCTTAACTCCTTCACAGGATTGTTTTGAAAAATATGAAGTATTACACGCAAAATGAGTTTCTCATATTACTAACATCCAGAGATGTTATTGCAAGTAATCGCAGAGGCTACTGGGTCAGTCTCAATACAGAAACATCCCTCAGACCTGTTAAATAGCTGCCTAATTTCCATGTGAACACATACCTTGATAGGAAGAGGACAGCCTCCTTAACTGCCTGTTTGAATATTAGACAAGATCTCTTGGGATGAACACACACTGGCCCTGGTTAAGCAAAATATTTATATCTATAGAAATGAACTGAGTCATTTTTCAGTCTTCTCCAACCCCAAGATTCTCTGATGTTTTGCCTTTTGAAAGATCACATTTCCTTTTTCCAAAAAAAGATAGCCATCATCATATCTGTTCTCAAAGTTAATATTTTATCACTCATTGAACATTTACCATGTGTTAGCATCTGTATATACATAATTTTGGACCTGTATAATTACTGATGAGAAGGCTATTAGTTTGCTGTTTATAGGTAATTTGTCCTGCTGGTTGCTTTCAAATTTCCTTAGTATTCTGTAGATTTCCAATGGCATGACCTTAGGTATAGATCTACTTTTATTTATCTGCTTTGGACTCAAAGTGCTTCTGCAATCTGAGGAATTACATTTTTCATCAACTCTGAGAAATTCTCAGCTACCATTTCTTTGAATGTTGCTGCTCTTCCAGTCTTCACTCTGGAACTCCTACAAGGCTCATATTGGACTTTTCATTCTATCTTCTGTCCCTTAACCTCCCCCATAATTTCCATTTATTTATCTGTTAACATACTCTGGTAATTTCACATATTCTCTTTTTAGCTGGGTCCAGTCTCACACCTTGAGTTTGCTTGTTGAGACAGTCTTGCTATGTTGCCCAGGCTGGGAGAGACTCCTGGGCTCAGGTGATTCTCCCATGTGGGACTCCCAAAGTGCTGTGATTACAAGCATGAACCACTGCACCTGGCCAGAGTTTGTTTTTTTTCTTATGACTGTTTTCTCATTTTTTATTTTTTATTTTTTATTTTTAGACCAACTCTTGCTCTATCATGCAGGCTGGAGTGCAATGGCATGATCTCAGCTCACTGCAACCTCTGCCTCCCAGGTTCAAGTGATTCTCATGCCTCAGCCTCCCAAGTAGCTGGGATTACAGGTGCACACCACCATGCCCAGCTAATTTTTGTATTTTTAATAGAGACAAGGTTTCACCATGTTGGCGAGGCTGGTCTCAAACTCCTGACCTCAGGTGATCCACCACCTTGGCCTCCCAAAGTGCTGGGATTACAGGCGTGAACCACCACGCCTAGCCCTATTTTCTCATTTCTACACATCCTAATGGATTCTTATCAACGATACCTCAGCCTGTTTCATAATGCTCTGCTCTTTGTGGCTTTTATTCTTTTATCTTTCAAATTATTTTTAAAATATACTTTAAAATCTCATTCAAGTTTTTCTTTTAATTCAATTAGGTAGGTTGCTAATTTTCCAGACTATTATGTCTTCTGGTTTTCCCTCAGTGGCATGCTTTTTTTTTTTTTTTTTGGCCAAGAATTTTTTGCTTTTTAACATAGAAAGCCAGTATGTATTTACATTGATAAAGCAATTACAGATAAATACACTTAAAAAGACATGACATGCTGGAATATTTTCTTAGTGATATCCTAAAACCATAATTAAATCCTTTTTCACTTCTTCATTGAAACACAATAAATGTACGTATTTAGGGTACATGTGCTAATTTAATATGTTCATGTAGTTCAAGACCAAATCCATGTAACTGGGATATCCATCACCTTAAATATTTGTCTTTGTGCTAGGGACGGCTCTAACTCTTCTGTCTTGGGGTAAATTTCCATCTCTAAACCCAATCCCCTTGAACATTTGAATTACTCTCTTCTATCTATTTTGAAATATACAATACACACACTTTTTATTGCATCCTCAATTTCAGTAGGAATTGCTTGTCTATGGACAAGCTGTGAGTCACAACTAGTCTTAAGTATTACTACAGTTCAGTTTCTGCCAAGTACTCCAGATATGTTACATTCAGTTTTTAGCACTCCTTTAAAAGTCCTAGATTTGTGCAGGAATCTCTATATCCATTTATACATTAAAACACTAGTCCATACAACTTATATCTGGTTTTAATATCCTTTTATCATTTTTCATTAAAAAGGTTTTAATATCCTTTTTAAAATTCTGGCACCAAGGATATTTTCCTTTCCTATACTCTTAGATTCCTCTTCTCAACTAAACATACCCTCAAGTTATTTAAAATTTACGAAGTTCATGCAATCTGCAGGCACATTTAACATATGGTACCCAGAACAGAACAAAGTTTTCCAAAAACTGCTGCCTGGTCCGATTTGGAAACTGAACTTCTATTATATACATCCTTAATTGTTCTAGCTTCCACATTATACTGTTGACTCACCTTATGCTCTACTCACTTATAACTCATAGATCTTTGATGTAAGAACAACTTCTAAAATAATTGAAATTGAAAAATGAGACTTCATATTTATCCTGCATCAACTTTTTTTTTTACGTTTTCACACAAAACTGAGTCAATACTACTCAGCAAGTGGGAACCTTTAAAACACACACTTGGCTTTCTAGGAAAAGAGGAATAAGCTTATTCCTATGTGAAATAGACCCTACTGTTTCTGCCTACACAGTACTCCATTCTTATAACAGAATCCCTCTACTTATAAGAAATTTATTCCACATCATTCAGATGAGGATTACCCTGTCCAGCCACAGGGGGAAGCTCCCGATCCCATACCCCAGCCAAGGGGATTTGTTCAGAGATGGAAATTCACCCCAAGACAGAAGAGTTAGAGCCATCCTTAAGACTTTTGCTAAAATTTTCCAATTTAAAAAAAAAAGAAAAAAGGACTCTCTCCCCCTTCTGAAGTAGTAAATACTAAATACCATGTAAGCTTAGAGATGTTGCCCCTACACAGAAAGATAATGTGCCTGAGAATGAAATTAACAGAGGAAAAGTAAAGCCCAGGAGACTAAGACAGAAAGACCATGTTTTCATAATATAATTTAAGTCATTAGATGTAACTGTGAAACCTTGAAACTCTTAGTCACAAAAAACAATATTCAGTTATTTTTCTCAAACCAGTTTGAGTCGTATTTCCGTCTTGCAAGCAAGAAACCTAACACAATGTATAACATGCTTAACTGCTCTTTATACAAAATTATCAGAGCATTCTCCTATTACACAAAAAACCCATCATCTCTTTTGTAGCACTCATATCAAAATCTGTAAAAGTAGCTGCTAATTTGAAAAAGCAGGAGGTTTAGTTTGTCATGATTATAACACTGGATTCTCGTCTAAATAGACACACGATGAACCCTGAACCACATCTGCAAAAACAGACTAAAAATCACTCACTATATTCACAAAATAATTGTGTAGCATCTAACCAAGTCTACAAATTGGCCCTAAAAAAGTCTTGTCTTTTTTTGCAACCAACCTGGTTCCAAAGAATATGATCTTCTCCCTTTTTCTTAACTACCCTCTCTCCCCTTCCCCAAATTCTGGCCCCAATTCTGGGAATACATTCCTAAACTTATCCTAAATCCAGAAAACAAAAGTGAATAAATAAAGATATTTAATATTACATCATCATATATATTTAAAAATCCTTTTAAAAAATGAAAACAGCGTAAGTGCTCACCAAGAAAAGAATAGTCAAGTAAACTATATTCACAAAATGGACCATTTACAAACACTAAAAGTGAAGTTTACAAATGACTACGTAACATAAAAATGATTTACGTTAGAGGATTAAGTTTCAGGAAAAAAAAGTAAAATTCCAGACACACATAATTACAACAATTCAAAAGATACTTGAATAAAAGTTTGAAGGAAATATGTAAATGCAAAATGCAATTCTGCTTTGGTGATGGCCTTGGATTATTGATTTTTCTTCTATCTGACCGTTTTCCAACTTTTCTTCAAGGACCACGTGTTAGTTTTCTATTTAAAAGACTGTAAGATCAAAGCAACGGGAAAAGTTATCCAAATAGAATCCAGAAGTAGTCTTTCTTGAAATTTTCAAGTCTACTGTATTTCAGTTCAAAATAATGCTCGAGGGCCTGGGCCATTGTGGGCTCCAGCAAATGTGTGGGGATGAGCAGCGAAGTGGTGGCTCTGCTGTGCTGGGCATGCAGCACGTGCGACAGACTCGGGCAGCAGAGAGGCGCTGGTGAAGGACAAGGTGCTGGACTTCCTCAAGAGGATGCCGGAGCAGCCCCAATGCGGCTTCAGCAACACGGTGGTGCATATCCTACAACTGCGCAGTCTCCATGACAATCTGGCCTACAAAGTGATGGGTGACCTCAAGCTCCGACAGGGCATTAAGACTATTCCAACCGGCCCACCATCCCACAAGCATACCTCAATGGAGAGTTTGTCAGGGGCTGTAACATTCTTCTGCAGATGTGCCAGAATGAGGACCTGGTGGGAGAACTGAGAAAGCTGGGGATCTACTTCACCCTTTTAGATAAAAAGGAAGACCAAGATTCAAAGTGTGGCTGCCCAGGTCCTCACTGAGCAGAGATGGAGCGTTCATGTCAGAGACTGCCAGAAAAGCCTTACCGATTTTGCTTTTCGCTATTGAGGCAACAACTGCTTGCACTGATCACTTCGGTTTGTAAGCAGTCGGGTGATTTTAGTTTGTCTAGTGTTTGAGCTAGTAATATTTTATTGTGAAAACTGCAACCACTTCACTGCAGTAATTCAATGTTGTATTATAATATTGCTGTAAACAAAATTCATTCTTATGTTGTCATTTATTCTTTGTCTGATTCAGGAGCTAAACTAGGGGCTTTGGAATCATTATTCATGACTCCTCTGCAAATGACAGTCTGCAAAGACAATATATCGCCCCCAATTTTGTGTAACTTCTATTAAGCAAAATGATGAACAAAGAAGAAACTAATAAACGGGGTGTTGTTTTTTAAAACAACTGCCAACATAGGGGGGAGAAAAACAAAACAAAACAAAATAATGCTCAGTTGAACTTTTACCTATTCATGTCGCTATCACTTCAGAAGGTGGTAACAATTAACAATAGAAAACTGAAGCTTTGAGATGGCAGACAAAGCACATGCATTTATCATCTGCCCACCTCCTGAGACCCCACTGAAAAAAACACAAAGAGCTGACTGAAATCCCATAACAGTAAAAAGAATAAAGGAGGCCACCAACAAATAAGAGGTTTTCCATTTTTTTGGAGGAGAGGAGGAGCAGAGAGGATTAGGTTGAAGATAAAATAACTAGAGAAAGCCACAGCCTAGAATCTGTTACCAGGGGCTGGAAGCCAGTCTACCTGATGGAACCTGAAGATGTGTACCCTATACTATACACAGAATTAAGGATGAGTGTGAAAAGAGGGAGATTAAAGATCTGTATATAGAATACCTAATTGTAGGTACTACCATTCTAGTCCTATAATCCCAAGCACAAGGCAGTGAGCCTGGATTTGCCTCTAGCTAAAACACCGGACAGATCTTCCCTAAAGAAATTAAACTGGAACAAGCAAGGGCTTCTAGTGTGACTAGATCTCTTTCCGGCATCTGAACAGCCTTCACCCTGCCAACCAGATCCCTATCTGCTCAACCCAAGGCAAACCCTGTCAGTCACAGATTCCCCTCCCCAAGCCCTACCCACAAGAAAAAAGATCTCCCAGTCTGAATTCTCACTTGAGAAAGCCATGTAACAGGAAAACAGTCCATCTTACATTTAAAAAAATATGAGCCAGTACTAGTTAACTAGTTCATCTTTCTGAAACATGGATAACTTCAGACTTAGCAAGCATGGTGAGGACAGAAGACCCAAGAGAAGCAAATGGAATTTAATTATTAACTCCAGAGGAAACAGATAATTTAGAAGACAACTTTTAGAAAGCTCTAATATAGAGAGATTGAAGAAGATAATAAATCTTTACAAAAAGGACAACATCTGTGAAACAAAGTTTGAACTAAAGAAACAAGTATAATAAAAATGTTCTTGAAGATTAAACGTACGTTTACTGAAAAAAATTTCAAGAGAATGACTGGAATATATAATTGAAAAAAATTTTCAGAACAAAAGTTGAAAGACTAAATTACCTATGGGTCAAAAATTACCAAAAAAAAAAACAAAAAAAAGAAAAGAAAAAGAAAAAAAGTAGAGACTAAAAATATAAGAAAAGTAGAAAAGGAATTTTCCAAAGATTAAAAAAAAAAATTCCCAGAATTTCAGAAAATGAGTCTTCAGAGTAAGTGCCTTAACACAAGGTGGCAGCCACGGTACACCAAATCATGTCTCTCCTCTGCAAAAATCCTGCTATGAGGAGTACAGCTCTTTAGCCTTCAGCACGCACACAAAAACCAGGTTCCTCCTGGGAGATTCTCCAAGCCAAGGACAGAACACAGCAGGGGAACCAGAATAGAGCCATTCCTACCTAATGAGGGACTATTCTAACAGGCAATTTTTACCCTGGGAATTGCCACTGCCCTGCCTGAGACTTTCTCAGAGATGCACTAAGACTGTTTACACCCAATTTTTCTTCCTTCTCTCTCTCCATTCACTGATGACAGACCTGAATCACTGTCTGAAGGTCCTCTCCAATCTAATTTTGCTCTCTCGCCCCTTAATCCTTCACAGGTGTTCTTCCTCAATAAATCTCTTCATTGTCTAATTCAATCTTGGAATCTTTCTCAGAGAACCTTAACAAAACAATAATTGAAAAGAGCCTCACATGTAAATGCATTATATTGTGATTGTCAGAACACCAAAGATAAAGGGGGGAAAAAAGCAAGTTTCCATAGGAAAAAAATCAGGTTACCAACAAAGGGAACAAAATGAAATTTCCTTCAGACTTCTCACCAACAACATTAAAAGATAATATATTGATATTAATTGATACTTAGAAAGCAATATGCAGTAGTTCCTCTGTAACTTTGAGTTCTGAATCCACAGAATCAATCAACCACAGATCACAATATTTGGAAAAAAAAACCGACGACAATAAAAAATAATACAAATAGAGAAGAGAAGGGGCTTCAAGACAGCAGACGAGAGGCATCTGACATTTGCCTCCTCCACAAAGAACCAAAATAGCATGTAGATAATCACACTTTGAATAGATCACCTAAGAGAGAACACTGGAATGGAATAGAGAAGTGACAGGAAATACCTGAGGCATGGAAGGAGAAGGAAGTCTGGCAGCCAGCTCAGCTGGGTGCCCAAAGAGGCTCTCCAGTGTAGGAAAAGGGTGAGGGATCCCCAGGTATCCACATTCCCACTGCAAACTCCTGCAACATTAGCCACAGGACAGAACCCTCAGACTAGCTAGCATAAGGAGCTGCCTAGACATAGCACGTTAGCATTGCTCTAGAGAGGGAGCTCATGCCGAGTACCACACACAGTCCCTGAAATCCAAGCTGTGCAGCACAGCACCATTTCAAAATCCAGCCCCACCAGACTAGGCCTTCTGCTCTAGGGCTCAACAGCCCCTGCATCTCCACATCCCTGAAGCTGCACTGATATTCCCCTGCATTCACCAGAATGACTGCAGTGGCATAGTATCAGTTGGACTCAGTGGAATGACAGGGTCGCCAACACTCTAGCACACACAGTATCCTGCACCCCAAGGATAGGGCACTGTAGCACACAAGGGAGGCTGCCCCCAGGACAAAGGGAGCCAAAGTGCTGCAAGTTCCCCAGAGCCTGAAACCTGCCTGCCTAAAGCTACTGCCATTGATAAAAACCCTGCCTCCATCAGCAGCAGGGCCACAGCACAACTGCGTGGCTTTCCAGTGTGCCACACTGCTGCTGCCACCAGGGACCCAAGCGTGCGCCACTGGCAGCAACTCTCTGCCCCTCAGCAGCACAGCGGCCATGCACTTGCACACACTCTGAGAACTATTTCTGCTGTTGCCACCAATGCCAGAGGTTGAAGTTTGTCCTCCCTAGAGCCTACGAGTTGCCTACCTGCAGCTGTGAGCACTGACAGCAACCCCATCCCCACCAGCAAAAGGACAACAGTGCACTAGTGTGTGCCCTGAGGATGGGCTCTCTCCACTCACCACAATGCAGCTGCCACCATCCAAGTGCTCTGCCAGGAAACCTAAGGGTCACCCCGATCTGTCCACCACAAACTGCACCCATGCATACCACAGGACAGACTGAGGACAGGCTATTTCCAAACACACCATCCAAGGGCGTGGGGATCAGCCCAACCCATCCACCACTGCTGGCATCTGTGCACTCCTCCTAGGGGCCTGAAGATGGGCTCACTTAGCCTGCCACTAACATCACAGCTGGTACTCGCTGGCACGTGCCCTGAGGGCCTGGGAACTGGCCCACCCAGCCCAACACAGCCATTTCCAAAACAAGTGTGTGCCACCTGGAAACTCAAAAGTTGTCTTACCACCACTACAGACATTGCTCATGATACACACACTGCCCAGGGGCACAACAACCCACCCGCCTGGCCCACCAATGCAACTACCAGCACCCAACAAAGTTACCCAGAAGCCCAAGAATAGGCTACTCGGACCTGTTAATACCTGTACCCGTGTATGGACACCCAGAGACCCAAGGACAGGCACACTCAGCTCACTATTCCCACTACTGGGCCCTGAGGACGGCCTGGCCCACCTGGCATCCCTATATCCAGCAAAACCTCACCACAGTCTCCACTAACAACTACAGCCTAAGCGACTGATGAAATCACAAACACCACTGAAGCTGCTTAAAGTCTAAGAAACTGCATAGAGACTACACTACTGCATGCACCCAGAATCAAAGCTAAAGTGCCCTACCCAACCAACAACACAGGCACACTTTTAGGAAAAAGTCTGGCCCTACAAAAGCCAATACAAAAAATCAGAAGAAGTGATTGTTACACCAGACATACAAATATCAATGTAAAGGAGACAAAAAACATAAAAAAGAAAGAAAATGTGACACAGCCAGAGAAACAAAATAATTCTCCAGCATTATATTCCAATAAAAATGAAATTTATAAGATGCTGGAGAAATAATTCAAAATAATGTTATTAAAGCTCAGTGAGATGCAAGAGAACACAGATGAACAATACAAAGAAATCAGAAAAGCAATTCAGGATATAAATGAGAAATTACTAGATAGATAGATAGATAGATAGATAGATAGATAGATAGATAGATAGGTATTTTTAAAAACCCAGGTATCCTAGAATGAAAGAATTCAATACATGAAATTACAAACACATCTGAAAGCTTCAACAACAGACTAGATCAACCAGAGGAAAGAATTTCAGAACCTAAACACAGGCCTTTTGAAATAACTCAGTAACACACACATGCAAAAAAAAGAAAAAATAATAAGAATGAACAAAGCCTATGTGATGTACAGAGCACCATAGTGTAACCAAATATTTGAATTCTGGGTATTCCAGAAAAAAGAAGAGAAGGCTAAAGGCACTGAAAACCTATTTAATGGCCGGGTGCAGTGGCTCATGCCTGTACCACTTTGAGAGGCTGAGGCAGGCAGATCACTTGAGGTCAGAAGTTCGAGACCAGCCTGGACAACATGGTGAAACCCCGTCTCTACTAAAGATACAAAAATTAGCCAGGCTTGGTGGCGCATGCCTGTAATCCCAGCTACTTGGGGAGCTGAGGTAGGAGGATTGCTTGAACTTGGGAGGTGGAAGTTGCAGTGAACTAAGATCATGCCACTGCACTCCAGTCTGTGCAACACAGTGAGATTCCATCACAAAAAAAAACAACAAAACCCCAATTATTTAAAAAAAAGAAAAAGAAAACCTATTTAATAAAATAATAGCTGAAAAGTTCTCACATATAACAAGAGACTTAAACATCCAAATACAGGAAATTCAGAGATCCCAAATGCGTAAAATTCAAAAAGGTATTCTCCACAGCACATTATAGTCAAACTGTTTAAAGTCAAAAACAGAGGATTCCAAAAACAACAAGAAAAAAAAATCTAGTTACATAAAAGGGAATCCCCATCAAAATAACCACAGATTTCTCAGCAGAAACTTTATAGCCCAGGAGACAATGAGATAATATATTGCAGTGCTAAAAAAACAAAACAAAACAAAACAAAAACAAAACAAAAAAAACAAACTATCAGCCAAGAATACTATACCCAGCAAAGTATTCCTTCGTAACAAAAGGGAAAATAAAGTCTTTTCTAGATAAGCAAAAACTGAGAAAATTCATCACCACTAGAACAGACCTACAAGAAATGCTTAAGGGAGTCCTATAAATGGAAGGGAAAGGACAAAACCTATCACCATGAAAATACAAAAGTATAAAACTTACTGGTAAAGCAAATACAAATAAGGAACAAAAAGGATTCAAATGTTACCACTACAAAAAAAAACAAAACAAAAAAAAAACCAACAAACCACAATAAACTAGAAAGAAACATGAGACATACAAAATAACCAGAAAACAATTTTTTTTTTTTGAGAGTCTTGCTCTGTCGCCAGGTTGGAGTGCAGTGGCACAATGATGTTGATGATATCAGCTCACTGCAACTTCTGCCTCTTGGGTTCAAGTGATTCTCCTGCCTCAGCCTCCTGAGTAGCTGGGACTACAGGCGCGCGCCACCACACCCAGCTAATTTTTGTATTTTTAGTAGAGACAGGGTTTCACCATGTTGGCCAGGATGGTCTCGAGCTCTTGACCTCATGATCCACCCTCCTCAGACTCCCAAAGTGCTGGGATTACAGGCATAAGCCACCGTGCCCGGCCCCAGAAAACAATTTTTTAAATGCCAAAAATAAGTTCACCACATATGAACAATGACCTAGAACACAGAGAGATTAAACTTTCCGCTTAAAAGGTGTAGACTGGCTGAGTGAATTAAAAACCAGAACCAAACTATATACTGCCTACAAGAAAATCACATCACCTGTAAAGACACATAGACTGAAAGCTTTACTCTTCAGCTTTTTAAGTTGAAAAAAGATACTCCATGTGAAGAGAAACCAAAAGCAAGCAAGAGTACTTACATGAGATAAAACAGACTTTAAGTCAAACACAGTATACAGAGGCAAAGAAGAACATTACAAAACAATAAAGGAATCAATTCAGCAAGAGATTATAACAATTCTAAATACATATGTACCCAACAATGAAGCACCTAGAAGAAATATCTGAAGCAAATATTATTAGATCCAAAGGGAGACACAGACACCAATGCAGTAATAGTTACGGACTTAAACAAAACATTGCTCTCCCAGCATCAGACAGATCATCCAGACAGAAAATTAACAAAGAAACATCAGATTTTTTTTATTTGAGACAGGGTCTCGCTGTGTCACCCAGGCTGGAGAACAAAGGCGCAATCTCAGCTCACTGCAACCTCCACCTCCCAGGCTCAAGTGATTCTCATGCCTCAGCCTCCGAGTAGCTGGGACTACAGGCACATTCCACCACACCCAGCTAATTTTTGTATTTTTTGTAGAGACAGGATTTTGCCATGTTGGCCAGGCTGGTCTCGAAATCCTGGTCTCAAGAAAACCTCCCACCTTGGCCTCCCAAAGTGCTGAGATTACAGGTGTGAGCCACAGCACCTGGCCAGAAACATTAGACTTAAACTGTACTTTAGACCAAATAGACATAACAGATATTTACAGAAAATCTTATCTGACAGCTGTAGAATATACATTCTTCTCACTGGCATAGAATATTCTCCAGGTTACACCATATGTTAGGCCACAAATTTAAAATACTTGAAACTATACCAAATATCTTATCAGAACACAATGGAATAAAACTAGAAATCAATAATACTTTGGAAACTATACAAATACATGGAAATTAAAAAGGAACTCTGGAAACTATACAAATACATGGAAATTAAATGACATGTTCCTAAATGACAGACCACTGGGACAAAGTAGAAATTAAGAAGGAAATAAAGAAGTTTTCTTGAAACAAGTGAAAACACAAACACAACACACCAAACCCCATGTAATACAACAAAAGCAGTGCTGAGAGGGAATTTTATAGCAACAGACATCTATATAAAAGTAGTAGGAAAATTTCACACAATCTAACAATGCACCTCAAGGAAACAGAAAAGCAAGAACAAACCAAACCCAAAATTAGAAGGAAATAAATAATAAAGATCAGAGCAGAACTAAACAAAATAGAGACTAGAAAAACAATACAAAGATTAGTGAAGCAAAAAGTTGGGTATTTGTAAAGATAAGCAAAATGGATAAACTACTAGCTAGACTAACCAAGAAAAAAAGGAAGACCCAAATAAAGAAAATCAGAAATGAAAAAGGAGAAATTACAACTGATAGCACAGAAATATAAAAGATCGTCAGAGGCTATTATGAACAACATGCTAACAAACTGAAAAAACCTAGAGGAAATGGATAAATTCCTAGACAAATACAATCTACCAAGGTTGAATGAGAAAGAAAGCAAAAACCTGAACAGACCAATAACAAGTACCAAAATTAAATCAGTAATAAAAAGTCTCCAAACAGAGAAAAGCCCAGACTGAGACAGCTTTACTGCCAAATTCTAGCAAACTTATAAAGAATTAACACCAATTCTCCTCAAACTATTCCCAAAAAAATGAAGAGGAGGAAATTTTCCCTAACTCATTCTATAAGGTCAGCATTATTCTGATACCAAAACCAGACAAAAACACAACAAAAAAACAAAACTATAGGCCAATGTCTCTGATGAATATGGATGTAAAACTCAACGAATATTAATACTAGCAAACTGAATCAAAAAGCATATCATAAAGTAATAAACTATATTCAAGTGGGTTTTATCCCACAGATAAAAGGATGGTTCAACATATGCAAATCAATAAATGTGATACATCATATGAACAGAATGAAGGACAAAAAACAGATCATCTCAATAGACGAAGATAAAATTAAACATCCCTTCATTATAAAAACATTCAAAACACTAAATACAGAAGGAACATTCTTCAACATCATAAAGGCTATTTCTGACAGACCCACAGCTAACATCATACCAAAATGAAATTGTAAACCTTTCCTCTAAGAACTGGAACAAGACACTTTTATGACTCCTATCAAATATAGTACTAAAAGGCCAGGCACGGTGGCTCAAGCCTGTAATCCCAGCAGTTTAGGAGGCCAAGGCGGGTGGATCACCTGAGGTCAGGAGTTCGAGATCAGCCTGACTAACATGGTGAAACCCCATTTCTACTAAAAATACACAAAATTAGCCAGGCGTGGTGGCACACATCTGTAATCCCAGATACTCACAAGGCTGAGGCAGGAGAATCGCTTGAACCCGGGAGGCGGAAGTTGCAGTGAGCCGAGATGGTGTCATTGCACTCCAGCTTGGGCAACAAGAGCGAAACTCTGTCTCAGGAAAAAAAAAAAAAAACCACACACCTAAAAGTCCTAGTCAGAGCAATAGCCACAAAGAAAACAGTAAAACACCAAAGAATAAATATAAACAAGGAGGTGAAAGGCCTTCACAAGGAAAACTACAAAACACTGATAAAAGAAGTTAAAGAGGCTATAAACAGAAAGATCCCATCCCATCATCACAGGATTGGAATAATATTGTTAAAAAGTCCATATTACCTAAAGCAATCTATAAATTCAATGCAATTGCTATCAAAATACCAACATAATTTTTCACAGAAATAGAAAAACAATCCTAAAATTCATATGAAACCAAAGAAGAGCCAGAACTAGCCAAAGCAATCCTGAGCAAGATCAAGGTGGGGGCATCACATTATCTGACTTCAAAATATATTACAAGGCTATAGTAACCAAAACAGCATAGTATTGGTATAAAAATAGACACACAGACCAATAAAACAGAGTAGAGAACCCAGAAATAAATCCATGTATTTACAGCCAACTGATTTTCAAGGTTTCCAAGAACATACATTGGAGGAAAGAACACTCTCAATAAATCGAGTTGGGAAAACTGGATATCCATATGCGGAAGAATGAAACCAGACCCTTATCTCTCACCATATGGATTAAACTCAAGATGGATTAAACACCTAAACATAAGGCCCAAAACTATAAAACTACTAGAAGAAAATATAAGGGGAACACTATAGGGCATTGGTCTAAGCAAAGATTTTCTGGTTAAGACTTCAAAAGCACAGGTAACAAAAACAAAAATGGACAGATGGGACTATAATAAACTAACAGGCTTATGCACAGCACAAAGGCAGAAGGAAACAATCAACAATTAAGAGACAAGTGGTTGAATGGGAGAAAATATATGCAAACTATTCATTCAACAAAGGACTAATATAAAGAATACACAAGAATACACAAGGCACTCAATGGTTAAAAGAACAAAAGACAACAACAACAACAAAAACAAACAAACAAAAAAAAAAACATTAAAACATGGGCAAAGGACATGAATTCAAATTCTCAAAGACATACAAATGGCCAACAGGTATATGAAACAATGTCCAACCTCACTAATCATCAAAGAAATGGAAATCAAAGCCACAGTGAGATATCATCTTACCACAGTTAGAATGGCTTTCTTTTGGACAAGGCTCTATTGCCCAGGCTGGAGTTCAGTGGCACAATCTTGGCTCACTGCAACCTCTGCCTCCCAGGTTCAAATGATTCTCATCCCTCAGCCTCCCAAGTAGCTAGGACTAAAGGTACACGCCACCATGCCCAGATAATTTTTGTATTTTTAGTAGAGACAGGGTTTCATCACATTGGCCATGCTGGTCTCCAACTCCTGAGCTCATCCTCAGCCTCCCAAAGTGCTGGGATTACAGGCATGAGCCACTGCGTCTGGCCAGAATGGCTATTAATAAGACAAAAAAAAAAAAAAAAAAACATGCTGCAGAGGATCCGGAGAAACAGGAACTTTTATACACTGTTGGTAGGAATGTAAATTAGTATAACCACTATGGCAAAGAGTATGGAGATTTCTCAGAAAACTAAAATTAGAACTACTGTATGATCCTGCAATGCCATTAACTGGGTCTTTATAAAAAGGAAAAGAAATAAGCATATAAAAGGAAGGCCTGCACTTGTGTGTTTATCACAGCACTACTGACAATAGCAAAGACACGTCATCAACCTAAGCATCTATCAATGGACACAAGAATTAAGAAAATGTGGTATAGGGGGCTGGGGCAAGATAGCCAAATAGGAACAGCTCCAGCCTAGAGCTCCCAGTGTGAGCGACGCAGAAGACAGGTGATTTCTGCATTTCCAATAGAGGTACCGGGTTCATCTCACTGGGGATTGTCGGACAGTGGGTGCAGAACACTGGGTGCAGCACACAGAGTGTGAGCCAAAGAAGGGCAAAGCATCGCCTCACCTGGGAAGCGCAAGGAGTCAGGGAACTCCCTTTCCTAGCCAAGGAAGGGGGTGACAGATGGCACCTGGAAAATCGGGTCACTCCCACCCTAATACTGCGTTTTTCCAACGGTCTTATCAAACGGCACACCAGAAGATTATATCCCACGCCTGGCTCAAAGGGTCCTACGCCCACGGAGCCTCACTCATTGCTAGCACAGCAGTCTGAAATCAAACTGCAAGGCGACAGCAAGGCTGGGGGAGGGGTGCCCGCCATTGCTGAGGCTTGAGCAGGTAAACAAACCTGCTTGGAAGCTCGAATTGGGTGGAGCACATCACAGCTCAAGGAGGCCTGCCTGCCTCTGTAGACTCCACCTCTGGGGGCAGGGCACAGCCAAACAAAAGGCAGCAGAAACCTCTGCAGACTTAAATGTCCCTGTCTGACAGCTTTGAAGAGAGTAGTGGTTCTCCCAGCATGCAGCTTGAGATCTGAGAACAGACAGACTGCCTCCTCAAGTGGGTCCCTGACCCCCGAGTAGCCTAACTGGGAGGCATCCCCCAGTAGGGGCAGACTGACACCTCACACGGCCAGGTACTCCTCTGAGACAAAACTTTCAGAGGAACGATCAGGCAGCAACATTGGCTGTTCACCAATATCCGCTGTTCTGCAGCCTCCACTGCTGATACCCAGGCAAACAGGGTCTGGAGTGGACCTCCAGCAAATTCCAACAGACCTGCAGCTGAGGATCCTGACTGTTAGAAGGAAAACTAACAAACAGAAAGGACATAAACACCAAAACCCCATCTGTACATCACCATCATCAAAGACCAAAGGTAGATAAAACCACTAAGATGGGGGAAAAACAGACCAGAAAAACTGAAAATTCTAAAAATCAGAGAGCCTCTCCTCCTCCAAAGGAACACAGCTCCTCACCAACAACAGAACAAAGCTGGACAGAGAATGACTTTAACGGGTTGAGAGAAGGCTTCAGACAATCAAACTTCTCCAAGCTAAAGGAGGAAGTTCGAACCCATGGCAAAGAAGTTAAAAACCTTCAAAAAAAAGATTAGACAAATGGCGAACTAGAATAACCAATGCAGAGAAATCCCTAAAGGACCTGATGGAACTGAACACCATGGCACAAGAACTACGTGACGAATGCACAAGCTTCAGTAGCCGATTTGATCAACTGGAAGAAAGGGTATGAGTGATGGAAGATTAAATGAATGAAATGAAGCGAGAAGAAAAGTTTAGGGAAAAAAGAATAAAAAGAAACGAACAAAGCCTCCAAGAAATATGGGACTATGTGAAAAGACCAAATCTATGTCTGATTGGTGTACCTGAAAGTGACGGGGAGAATGGAACCAAGTTGGAAAACACTCTGCAGGATATTATCCAGGAGAACTTCCCCAGTCTAGCAAGGCAAGCCAACATTCAAATTCAGGAAATACAGAGACCACCACAAAGATACTCCTTGAGAAGAGCAACTCCAAGACACATAATTGTCAGATTCACCAAAGTCGAAATGAAGGAAAAAATGTTAAGGGCAGCCAGAGAGAAAGGTCGGGTTACCCACAAAGGGAAGTCCATCAGACTAACAGCTGATCTCTCGGCAGAATCTTTACAAGCCAGAAGAGAGTGCGGGCCAATATTCAACATTCTTAAAGAAAAGAATTTTCAACCCAGAATTTCATAGCCAGCCAAACTAAGCTTCATAAGTGAAGGAGAAATAAAATACTTTACAGACAAGCAAATGCTGAGAGATTTTGTCACCACCAGGCCTGCCCTACGGGAGCTCCTGAAGGAAGCACTACACATGGAAAGGAACAACCTGTAACAGCCACTGCAAAAACATGCCAAATTGTGAAGACCATCGAGGCTAGGAAGAAAGTGCATCAACTAACGAGCAAAATAACCAGCTAACATCATAATGACAGGGTCAAATTCACACATAACAATATTAACCTTAAATGTAAATGGGCTAAATGCTCCAATTAAATGACACAGACTGGCAAACTGAATGAAGAGTCAAGACCCATCAGTGTGCTGTATTCAGGAAACCCATCTCACATGCAGAGACATACATAGGCTCAAAATAAAGGGATGGAGGAAGATATACCAAGCAAATGGAAAACAAAAAAAGGCAGGGGTTGCAATCCTAATCTCTGATAAAACAGACTTTAAACCAACAAAGATCAAAAGAGACAAACAAGGCCATTACATAATGGTAAAGGGATCAATTCAACAAGAAGAGCTAACTATCCTAAATATATATGTGCCCAATACAGGAGCACCCAGATTCATAAAGCAAGTCCTTAGAGACCTACAAAGGGACTAAGACTCCCACAAAATAATAACGGGAGACTTTAACACCCCATTGTCAACATTAGACAGATCAACGAGACAGAAAGTTAACAAGGATATCCAGGAACTGAACTCAGCTCTGCACCAAGTGGACCTAATAGATATCTACAGAACTCTCCACCCGAATTCAACAGAATATATATTCTTCTCAGCACCACACCACACTTATTCCAAAACCGACCACATAGTTGGAAGTAAAGCACTCCTCAGCAAATGTAAAAGAACAGAAATTATAACAAACTTTCTCTCAGACCACAGTGCAATCAAACTAGAACTCAGGATTAAGAAACTCACTCAAAACTGCTCAACTACATGGAAACTGAACAACCTCCTCCTGAATGACTACTGGGTACATAACGAAATAAAGGCAGAAATAAAGATGTTCTTTGAAACCAATGAGAACAAAGATACAACATACCAGAATCTCTGGGACACATTCAAAGCAGTGTGTAGAGGGAAATTTATAGCACTAAATGCCCACAAGAGAAAGCAGAAAAAGTTCTAAAATTGACACCCTAATATCACAATTAAAAGAACTAGAGAAGAGCAAACACATTCAAAAGCCAGCAGACGGCAAGAAATAAGTAATATCAGAGCAGAACTGAAGGAGATAGAGACACAAAAAACCCTTCAAAAAAATCAGTGAATCCAGGAGCTAGTTTTTTGAAAAGATCAACAACACTGATAGACCACTAGCAAGACTAATAAAGAAGAAATGAGAGAAGAATCAAACGGACACAATAAAAAATGATAAAGGGGAGATCACCACTGATCCCACAGAAATACAAACTACCATCAGAGAATACTATAAACACCTCTATGCAAATAAACTAGAAAATCTGGAAGAAATGGATAAATTCCTCAATACATACAGCCTCCCAAGACTAAACCAGGAAGAAGTTGAATCTCTGAATAGACCAATAACAGGCTCTGAAACTGAGGCAATAATTAATAGCTTACCAACCAAAAAAAGTCCAGGACCAGATGGATTCACAGCCGAATTCTACCAGAGGTACAAGGAGGAGCTGGTACCACTCCTTCTGAAACTATTCCAATCAATAGAAAAAGAGGGAATCCTCCCTAACTCATTTTATGAGGGCAGCATCATCCTGATACCAAAGCCTGGCAGAGACACAACAAAAAAAGAGAATTTTAGACCAATATCCCTGATGAACATTGATGCAAAAATCCTCAATAAAAAATACTGGCAAACCGAATCCACAGCACATCAAAAAGCTTATCCACCATGATCAAATAGGCTTCATCCCTGGGATGCAGGGCTGGTTCAACATACGCAAATCAATAAACATAATCCAGATATAAACAGAACCAACGACAAAAACCACATGATTATCTCAATAGATGCAGAAAAGGCCTTTGACAAAATTCAACAGCCCTTCATGCCAAAAACTCTCAATAAATTAGGTATTGATGGGACATATCTCAAAATAATAAGAGCTATTTATGACAAACCCACACCCAATATCATACTGAATGGGCAAAAACTGGAAGCATTCCCTTTGAAAACTGGCACAAGACAGGGATGCCCTCTCTCACCACTCCTATTCAACACAGTGTTCGAAGTTCCGGCCAGGGCAATCAGGCAGGAGAAGGAAATAAAGGGCATTCAATTAGGAAAAGAGGAAGTCAAATTGTCCCTGTTTGCAGGGGACATGATTGTATATCTAGAAAACCCCATTGTCTCAGCCCAAAATCTCCTTAAGCTGATAAGCAACTTCAGCAAAGTCTCAGGATACAAAATCAATGTGCAAAAATCACAAGCATTCTTATACACCAATAATAGACAAACAGAAAGCCAAATCATGAGTGAACTCCACAATTGCTTCAAAGAGAATAAAATACCTAGGAATCCAACTTACAAGGGATGTGAAGAACCTGTTCAAGAAGAACTACAAACCACTGCTCAATGAAATAAAAGAGGATACAAACAAATGGAAGAACATTCCATGCTCATGGGTAGGAAGAATCAATATCGTGAAAATGGCCATACTGCCCAAGGTAATTTATAGATTCAATGCCATCCCCATCAAGCTACCAATGACTTTCTTCACAGATGGAAAAAACCACTTTAAAGTTCATATGGAACCAAAAGAACCCACATTGCCAAGTCAATCCTAAGCCAAAAGAACAAAGCTGGAGGCATCACGCTACCTGACTTCAAACTATACTACAAGGCTACAGTAACCAAAACAGCATGGTACTGGTACCAAAACAGAGATATAGATCAATGGAACAGAACAGAGCCCTCAGAAATAATGCCACACATCAACAACTATCTCATCTTTGACAAACCTGAGAAAAACAAGAAATGGGGAAAGGATTCTCTATTTAATAAATGGTGCTGGGAAAACTGGCTAGCCATATGTAGAAAGCTGAAACTGGACCCCTTCCTTACACCTTATACAAAAATTAATTCAAGATGGATTAAAGACTTAAATGTTAGACCTAAAACCATAAAAACCCTAGAAGAAAACCTAGGCAATACCATTCAGGACATAGGCATGGGCAAGGATCTCATGTCTAAAACACCAAAAGCAATGGCAACAAAAGCCAAAATTGCCAAATGGGATCTAATTAAACTAAAGAGCTTCTGCACAGCAAAAGAAACTACCATCAGAATAAACAGGCAACCTACAAAATGGGAGAACATTTTTGCAATCTACTCATCTGACAAGGACTAATATCCAGAATCTACAAAGAACTCAAACAAATTTACGAGAAAAAAACAGCCCCATCAACAAGTGGGTGAAGGATATGAACAGACACTTCTCAAAAGAAGACATTTATGCAGCCTACAGACACATGAAAAAATGCTCATCATCACTGGCCATCAGAGAAATGCAAATCAAAACCACAATGAGATACCATCTCACACCAGTTAGAATGGTGATCATTAAAAAGTCAGGAAACAACAGGTGCTGGAAAGGTTGTGGAGAAACAGGAACACTTTTACACTGTTAGTGGGACTGTAAACTAGTTCAACCATTGTGGAAGTGATTGTGGTGATTCCTCAGGGATCTAGAACTAGAACTACCATTTGATCAAGCCATCCCATTACTGGGTATATACCCAAAGGATTATAAATCATGCTGCTATAAAGGCACATGCGCATGTATGTTTACTGCGGCACTATTCACAATAGCAAAGACTTGGAACCAACCCAAATGTCCGACAATGATAGACTGGATTAAGAAAATGTGGCACATATACACCATGGAATACTATGCAGCCATAAAAAATCATGAGTTCACGTCCTTTGTAGGGACATGGATGAAGCTGGAAACCAACATTCTCAGCAAACTATCGCAAGGACAAAAAACCAAACACCGCATATTCTCACTCATAGGTGGGAATTGAACAATGAGAACACTTGGACACAGGAAGGGGAACATCACAAACCAGGGCCTGTTATAGGGTCAGGGGAGAGGGGAGGGATAGGAGATACACTTAATGTAAATGATGAGTTAATGGGTGCAGCACACCAACATGGCACATGTATAGATATGTAACAAACCTGCACATTGTGCACATGTACCCTACAACTTGAAGTATAATAAAAAAACAGAAAATGTGGTATATATACACAAAGGAATACTATTCAGTCATAAAAAATGAAATCACATCATTTGCAGCAACATGGATGGAACTGGAATTCATTAAATTAAGTGAAATAAGGCAGGCACAGAATGATAAATACCACATGTTCTCACTCATATGGGGGAGTTAAAAAACTTAATCTCATGTACACAGAGAATAGAATGATAGATACCAGAGACTGGAAAGGGCTTTTGGGTGTGAGGGGAACATGAAGAGAGGTTGGTTATGGGTACAAACATACAGTTAGATGAAATAAATTCTAATCTTTGATAATTTTGATAGTGATGATACTTAGTAACAATATTTTATATATTTCAAAGTAATCACAAAAGAGGACTTGAAATGATAATCATATGTACAGAAATGATAAATACTCAAGATGGTGGATACCCCCAAATACCCTGACTTGATCATTACACAGTCTATGCAAGTAACACTCACATGTACCTCACTAATACGTAAAATATTATGTGCCAATAAAAGAAAAAGAATCAGTGGAAGAGGATGGGGTGGGGTGAAGAGGAACTGGGGAGATACTGGTCAAAGGATACAAAATTTCAGTCATGCAGGAGGAATAAGTTCAAGAGATCTACTGTACAACTTGAAGACCCTAATAACAATATCTTAATACTTGAAAAATCACTAAAAGATTAAATTTGAAGTATTCTCAATATAAAAAATGAGTATCCAAGGTAAAATATATGTTAACTAGCTCAACTTAGTGATTCTACATGCATACATACTTCAAAATATCATTCTGTGTACAACATATACACTTCTAGTCTATTTAAATAACCTTAAAAATGTAATTTAAAAATACAGTATAACAACTATTTATACAGCATTAATAAGTAAACTAGACGTGATTTAAAATATATGGGAAGAAGTACAGTTATAGGCAAATACTAAGCCATTTTATATAAGAGACTTGAGCATCCATGGATTTTGGTATCTGTGGGGGTCCTGGAACCAGTCCCCCACAGATACCAAAGAGGTGACTATACTCCAAATTCTGACCTACAATTTCATACCCTGATAAACTAACACCAGTAAAAGGAAGAAGGGGAATTGAGATTTTCAGACATCAAAGGATTCACATTTTATATTGCATATATCCTTTTTTAAGATTTTACTTGAGAGTGAACTCCAACAAAACCAAAGACAAGATAAATAAAATAGAATAAAGAAATAAAAACACCAAGATAGATGATTCACATGGAACAGAGAAGCAATCCCAAGAAATTAGTAAAAAGGCAGGCTCTGTTCACAGGCCAAGAGAGCAACCAGTATGGTTTGCAGCAGGCCTCCATGATGAAAGTATTCAACCAAAAAAAAAAAAAAAGCCAAAAACAATATTGAAGAGAATTTTTTTTAAATCTGGATATAATAAAGGTTAATTTGAGGAGACAAAAAAGAAGAAGAAAATTCATCGGAACAGTAAGAAGGGGAAATTGTATACCTGGCCTAAGTATAAAGCAAACTAAATGTATCATTAGCCTATTACTGCCAAATGAGGGAAGAATAAAATAAAAGGTAAAAAAAAAATCGGTCATTTGACTTTGATGTTTAAGAACATTCCCTTCTGAGTGACTCAGGAATTACGACACTGGATTTACTGAGAAAGAAATATAAACTGGCCAGGCGCGGTGGCTCACGCCTGTAATCCCAGCACTCTGGCAGAACGAGGCAGGCAGATCATGAGGTCAGGAGATTGAGACCATCCTGGCTAACATGGTGAAACCCTGTCTCTACTAAAAATACAAAAAAAATTCGCCAGATGTGGTGGTGGACGCCTGTAGTCCCAGCTACTTGGGAGACTGCGGTGAGGTTTCTAGCTCCCTGCCTCAGAGATGGAACCTTCTTGCTGCATACTCCTACAAGGTGGAAGGGGTGAACAAGCTCCCTTGAGCCTCTTTTATAAGGGCACAAATCCCATTCATGAAGTCTCCACCCCCATAACTTAATCACCTCCCAAAAGGCTACTTCCTAATACATCACCTTGGGGGTTAGTATTTCAACATAAGAATTTTGGGGAACACATTCAGACCACGGTAAGCACTAAATGTAATTACATTTTCACAGTCTTCATTTTACTTAATATTTTAACCAAGCATTCAGTTCAAGTATTTCTTTTTAGTTTTTTGTTTTTTGTTTTTTTTTTTTGAGGTGAGGGTTAGAATAGAAAGGGAGCAAAAATACTTCACAAGATCAGTGTTCCAAACAACACCTGGGGAAATGCTGGGGTGAAGTGTTCCAATATATATCACTGCTTTATTCAAGAATATTTAATCTTCTATCTTTTGGCATTGAAAAAAAAGTCTAATACTAAAACAACCAACTGGGCAACGTTAAGTATTATGATGTTTATTAGTTATGCTTCACTGCCTTTCCTTCCATAATCATATTAATGTGCAAGAAGCTTAACATGACCTACAAATCTGATTTAGGGAAACACTAAAGATATTGAGTCCAAAGCTCAAAATGATGACACATCATTCACTACAGTTATCCTGTAGTACATCTCAATATCCTCCACAGAAAATAGTAAATACCTTACAAAAGAACAGGCGGGGAAAAAAAAGCAATAAAGAAACCGTGCAAGAAACTCAGTGAATAAGAAGATCAAAATTCTACAATTCACCATTAGATAATATCCTGGTTATCTTTAAAATATAATCAATTTTGACTTTTAAAAGTGTATTAATTTGTTGCTTTGGGCCACTCATGTCTATTTACAAGAAAGAGAGCACATTTGTCATAACATAATTGAACACAAAAGACCCACATAAGTTTGAGTTTTGCACCTCAAAGTTATTGGTAAAAGGAAAAAAGTTAATAGAGCCATAGTTATAGAAAAACTACTGATTTTATTATTATCAATGCCAAACAAATCTTTAAATCAACTATAATTTATTTAAGCATAAAGTTACTTTCACATTTGTCCACAACCACAGTAAATACAGTTCTTGGCATAAAGACACAGACTTCAGAATTTAAAGCCTCCCCACCTGAAAGATTACATATATAAAACTCCCACTATTGTTTATATAATAGTGGATTAATCAAATTGAAATAGTTATACCGTCTAAAATAAAATTGAAATAATTTACTCATAAGATTCATATTTAAATCATCTTTATTTACAAAATACTATCCTGAGAATTATAATTCCATTAAGCTTCAATTTGAGCAAAAGTGTAATCACTTAAGTAACAGCAGTTACTTAAACTGAAAATGAGATCAGTCAAAATTACTTTTGAAGAGAGCAAAAATATTGTCAGGTTTCTTGCTGTGGTTCTGGATGTTCAGTAGCAGGCTCATTTGAAGGTGGAATCAAACCTGAGGGGAACTCACTTCTACCTTCAGAATGTGGGGGTGGGGGGAAAAATCCAGGTCTTGGGGGAAGGTAAGGAGGAAAACCCCTCGGTGGATAGACATTTCTCACTGTTCAAAGAGATTGGTAAAAGACATTTTTTAACTTTAAGAACCTGTACTGTGCCCTAATAAATCATTAAGTTTATAACTTCCATTACCTATTCTTTTATTTGAAAATTGACACTAGATAATTACTTGATCTAACAAATTAATTTTTACATTGAGAAAAACGTACCTCTTCAAATACAGATGATTAAAGGAAATATCATTAATTTTTATGTAATTTTTGTCCTATCTTAACACCTGTTTTTTAAAAAAGAGGAATTATTTCAAAATATATAAAACTTACTGTAAATCACTTTTTTCTTTCATTATCAAAGTCCTCAAAAAACATCTGCATGTAATATAATTTTCAACAAACTTAAAATTCGTATTAGTGATTCCCAATTCTAATTTGATATTATACTAAAACATTTCCAGTAATATCAAAGGCCACCTTAAAATTTCCCCAAACAAAATTCATTTTAATTCACCTTTAACTTTAAAAAGAGAAGAGAAACAAGGGAAGGAAAGACTATATGAGACATTCATAGGCAAAGCCTAGTATTTGGTAACCACATATTTATTCTGCAGAACCCTATAGTTCAAAACAGTAAAGTATGAATATAAAAGCAACATATTATTCCCTTTTTCTTATGTGAAGCTTTAAAAGAATTCAATAAATCCAAAAATTCGGTCAAACGTAATAAATACATTTTAAGTTTTAAATAAGTAGGACTGCATCAGAACTACTTATGAAAAAGACTTTAAAAAATATCTTAGCCAGTAATTTTAATGCTAGAATATAAGTTATTATTTTCACTAACTGTCAGAATAACCAGTTGCTACCAAATAAGGTACAGATAATTTTAGTTTTATCGTAAGACCTGCAAAAAGTCCATTATTTTCTTGACTGCCAAAATACAGAAATAATTCTATATTATTAAGATGAATCAAGCTGAAACCTCATTGCAGTCCACTTATGGCTGGCTGCCTTCCCAATTCGGAAAAGTAATGAGAATTTTCAGATTCACAGAATGCTAGAAAAAACTTTCCTCCACTGTGTTACTACATTAACAGATAGTAAAATTAAATCTCCGATTAATAAACCACATATTGAGCTTTAAAAAAAAAGTTTAAAAAAGCATACTTGCAAATGGAGCAGGTGGTGGACCTGGGAAATCCCCTGGTGGAAAATAATCTCGAGAAGCTCCAAACATGGCTCCTGGAGGAGGTGGGGGGAAAGGAGGTCCTCTTCTCAAGAATGGGCCTCTTGCATCCACTGGAAACAATGGACCTCTGATTGGAGCAAGAGGTGGAGGAACAAAGCCAGGGCCAGTGGCTTCATTTTCAGCAGGGAGAGATGAATCAGGCACATTTAAATTCTACAACAAATTGACATATGGCAGTCACTAAAACAGTAAATTTGCAATCATTTTCCCGAAAATCTCAGGCTTAGAAGAAATCATCTAGACAGAAAGCATTCCATGATAGTCTTAGAAAGCTCTAGAGAAAGATTCAAACAGCTTTCCACAGTAATGTATCAGCTATCACATTTTAGTTATCATAAATATTTTATTAAGTCAACAGAAAACAGCTTTAACCAACAAAGTAACAGTCTGGCTAAAGATAAAACAGAAATTTAACCCAAGAGCACTAAAATATATACTATTGTATCAAATATATACTGGAAAAAAAGAAAAAGCAAAATGTCTATGTTTATATTTTCCAAAAATCAATATCTTAATAAACAAAAATATACTTTAAAATATTCAAATAAAAATCCAAGGATGGGGAGGGAACTAAAATCTTAAACTAACTCAAACTCCTAGTCTGCAAATTGTATTTTATCACCATAGGTTACCATCTACAAAAGAAACAGCTTTCACGCTAAGTAGAAAGTATATTAATCAAAAAGAGAAAATCAGCTTTATATCAAAACCTAGATTATTAGCTATATTTCTATTCTAGTAAAGCATGAGATTAGAAGGCACAGGCCAGGCACAGTGGCTCAGGGCCAGGCGCAGCAGCTCACACCTGTAATACCAGCACTTTGGGAGGCCAAGGCGAGTGGATCATCTGAGGTCAGGACTTCAAGACCAGCCTCGCCAACAGGGTGAAACTCCGTCTCTACTAAATATACAAAAATTAGCTGGGTGTGGTGGCACACGCCTGTAGTCCCAGCTACTCAGGAGGCTGAGGCAGGAGAATTGCTTGAACCCAGGTTGCAGTGAGCCGAGATAGCGCCACTGCACTCCAGCTTGGGCAACAATAGTGAAACTCCATAAAAAAAAAAAAAAAAAAAAAAAGAAGGCTTCTGAATACATGCATACAATTCCACTCTTTCAATACTTACACCAAGATCATCTTTGGTATCATTTCTACTGGATTCCATTTCTGAAGGCATTGACCCATCTAGACATAAAAGTTAAACCATGAAAAGTACATGATTTATCACTTTATTCCTAGAGTATCTCCAGATCACAAAATTGGTATTTTCCCACTCCCCTTGTTGGCACATAAGCCAGCTGGACACCAATATCCTATATTGCGGCCACAAGAACAGCTTGAGGTCCCTAGAAATTCTGGCAGACTCAGAGTTCTATGATGGCATGTGGCAATTATTTCTCTGGCTAGTTCCTAAGCAATCCTGCTGGAGCAGAATGCTAAGAAGACATCTGGGAGGAAGCATCTCCCTCCTTCCTTCTTTTCCTCCTCCCTCCTTTTATGTTTGCCTCCTATCCTCTTCTCCTTCCTCCTCTTCTTCCTTCCGTCCTTATTCCTCCATTAAGTAAGAGAGACTAGCTACTGAAATTTAGCTACTGTTCCGAAATAAATGTTCCCGAACTTTGTTATCATCAAGAAATGCAATCCTCTCTGACCACAACTACCTCTCCTCTTGTAGCTTTCTCATTTATTCTCACTACATCTGTCCTTGGAAGTCACTGATGCTTCTGACCACTGAGTTTCCTCCCTCACTTCCTTCCCCAACTAACTAGACTCCAAAGTCCATGACTTCAGCCAGTTATAAATGTCCTTGTCTTACTGGTCATTTTTCACTTGTGCTTGACACAAGTGAAACCTCCTGGGTTTCTCTTTAACCCAGGAGGCGGAGGTTGCAGTGGAGCCGAGATGGAGCCACTGCACTCCAGTCTGGGCAACAGAGACTCTGTCTCAAAAATAATAATTAAAAAATAAATAAAATAAAATACTGACTTTCCAGGCTGAGCAAGGTGTCTCATGCTTGTAATCCCAGCACTTTGGGAGACCAAGGCAGGTGGATTGCTTGAGCCCAGGAGTTCAAGACCAGCCTCAACAACATGTCGAAACCTCATCTTTACAAAAAATTAGCCATGTGTGGTGGTGCACACCTGTAGTCCCAGCTATATTATATAGTCTACTATGTCAGAAAATCAATATTTTTAAAATTATATATATAACATTATTTATTATATATATTTAATAATATATAAATATATGTCCTTTCCTGAGGAAACCTTTTACCAATACATTTAAATCTTGACTTTAAAAAAAATTTTTATTTTCTTAACGTTGTGTACTTCTGGTTGATACACTGCATACATCTATTTCCCAACTTTAATGGGTTGCTATGAGGTAGTTTAAGTAAAAGACAGCCTGACAAATAGTAGATTGCTCAGTACATGTTAGTTATATCTAAGCATGAAATGTTTAATATAACTGATTACAATATCAACAGAGCATGCATCTAAATTGTTTTCTGGTGGGTTTTTATGTATCCATTCACATTTGCCTGGCTTATTTCCCTGATTACTAAACAGAACACATGTAAGTGGACTAGAAAAATTAGAAAATTAGTCATAGAACAGAGTAAAATTTATCATCATAGGTATATGGAGTAAACCTATTTCCATGGTGCTCAAACCAACCCACCAACATATATTTGGATGCCATGTCTGTGTACAATATAACAAGAAACATAAAACCAGGACATTTTCAGGAAAGAGATTTTGGCCTTAGGAACTACTAGAGATAGCAATTATATTGGTCTTTATTCTAACTTCCAGTTCTTTAGTGTGCCACCAAAATTTTTAAAGAAGAAAAGCACAAAGTACTTCTTACCCATTTTATCCAAAGAAGGCATATTAAAACTTCTGAGTTCTGCTGGTCCAGACAGTCTACCAGAATTAGAACAAAATCTGTCTTGCCTTTGTGGAGGAAGGGCTGAATCAGGATATGATTGTCCTAGAAAATAAGTTTTTAAAATGTCTTCATTAATGTAAATATAAATCAAGTTTACTTAAGTTTAACGTATTGAACTTACACTTTTGACCTGTATTCTAACACTTAAACTCATCATCTTCTTGGTTGACAACAGTAGACAATTTCAGAAGAATTGCATATTTTACTATAGGCAATAACCTTTATAGTAAACACAAGCATAATCTGCTACTTTGGATTTTGAAAATTTCAATTACTATGTGTAAATTAGAATATGTGAAAACAGAATTTAGTTTTATATATATGTAAATTAACTTTCCATTTTAATAATGGATGGAAGTAAATACATCAATGTATCAAAAAAGACCCAGGAAACATCTACTAACATAAGGAAAAAGTAAAGAGAAAAAACGTAAGCACAGCAAGAAATTTACCAGAACAGGTGATAATTTGTCATCAAAGCAGAAAGAGTATCATTCAGATGTCATCATTGTCAAACTTTCAGTAATATTGACGTTTTGGAATTTAGTATCTATTCCAAACCAAATGGAAAGAGACGGGTATGGTGGCTCACACCTGTAATACCAGCACTTTGAGAGGCCGAAGCGGGTGGATCACCTAAGGTCGGGAGTTCCAGACCAGCCTGGCCAACATGGTGAAACCCTGTCTCTACTAAAAATATAAAAATTAGCCAGGCATGGTAGTCTGTAATCCCAGCTACTCGGGAGACTGAGGCAGAAGAATCACCTGAACCCAGTGGGGCAGAGGTTGCAGTGAGCCGAGATCATGCCACTGCACTCCAACCTGGGTGACAGAGCAAGACTCTATCTCAAAATAAATAAATAAATAAATGAAAATAAATAAAAAACAAACTAAATGGAAAGCTCTCTCTGACTCAACAGATGAGTACCACTGCTGAAACGAAGAACATCTGGAGAGACACAAATTTGGACACCAACTATCTCAAGTGCTTCTACAGCCACCCTTTGTCCCCAGGGGTGATTTATGATGACAATATGGTATTAGGTTGGTGCAAAAGTAATTGCGGTTTAATAATTCCTGGGTCCTTGTGGAACTCATCACTCTTGAAAAAGTATAGGTAGTTTCTCATTCTTGAAAGGTGATGTCAGACTGCTAGATTAGGCATGCATATGTCCAACTCCAAAAATAAGGAGAACGACAAAGAAGGTGAATTGTGTAACTTTCCCCTATCCTATTACAGATATACGTAAACAACCCCAAATTGCCTCTAATTGACTTTATAGAATCAGTGTTGGATATATCACTCCTCATCTGACTCTGCCACAGGGGACCTTATTGACACATCATCTCTCCTACACAAAACCAGAGAGACCACCTGGCATCAACGAGAGTCAATAAAGAGAATTATATTTAATGAGCTCCCAATGGTCGGGAGATGTGACTGAGGAGAGAAAGATACAAATAGTTTGAAGGCTCATTTACACTCCCTTTCAAAATCCTAGGGAGGAGCTGTTTCAAAGGGTTTGAGTTAGCCTAATGAAAGAAAAGGTCAATACCAATCACTGAGATCTAAACTCAGTTTTCCCTTTCTACTTCAAACAAAGGATTAATTAAATGGTGGAGTTGGACAAGGGGATAAAATAAGGAAACCTGAACACCAACTCTTTTTTAATCAGGTCTCCAGATACTACATCATTATTTTGCTTCTAAATTATATCCCCACACATCAACAACCTCAGAAATAAAAAAATTTTGTTATAAATTTACTACTTTATAAACTACATGGCTATGTTGCCCTCCACTGGCAAAAGCAATTCATTCCTTAAATCTTACCAAGGCCTAGTATGTGTCAGGCACAAACAATACAATGTTGGCCTTGATAAACCCCATGTCCTTACAGTCTAATTCTGATAGAAACACATAAACACCATGTGATTAATGTCTTAATAAAAGGAAATATACATAATATAAGAGGTAGACTATCTATTTCTGATTGCAGGAATCAGAAATGGAGTCAGAGGCAGTAAAGCTTGCCCTGAAAGAAAAGTAAAGATGAACAAGTAATCAAGGGTATTCTGGTCAAATGCACATATACATATACACACATACATACACACATATACACACACCCTCATATGCACATATACACATACACATATACACATAATAAGATACAGCTATGTGGAAAGCATATGACCAATTAAAGACTGAACTGAACTACAGAAAGTAAGGACATGAAAGGTCCCTTTCTTTTTTGCTTTCAAACTTTTGTTTTCTATAATAGTATTCTACGCTTATAATAGAAGACATGATTAGAAAGAAAGAATGGAAGAAAAAAAGATAAGAAAAAAATGAATAAGGAGTGGGAATAAGTGTACTGGGCATTCTAAAGCAGTTTTGCAAACTAAGAATTATACTGCAGAAATCAGCTACTCTCATATACTTCATTCACAGCTTCTGTTGAGGGCGATGGGGAGATATCTATTAAAACCAAAAACAGGCCGGGCATGGTGGCTCATGCCTGTAATCCCAGCACTTTGAGAGGCCAAGGCAGGTGGACTGCTTGAGGCCAAGAGTTCAAGATCGGCCTGGCCAACATGGTGAAATCCCATCTCTACTGAAAACACAAAAAAATTAGCCAGGTGTGGTGGCACAGGCCTGCGATCCCAGCTACTCGGGAGGCTGAGACACAAGAATCGCTTGAACCCAGGAGGCGGAGGTTGCAGTCAGCCAAGATCACGCCACTGCACCCCAGCCTGAGCGACAAAGCAAGATCCTGTCCCAAAAAAATAAAAATTGAAAATAAGATCAAAAGTGTGCATACCCTATTACCTAGGAATTCCAATTCCTGGACAATCTTGAAAGAACATATGTACAAAAAGGGTGCTAGCTGCAGCACTGTTAGTAATGGTGAGATATTGGAGACACTCTAAATGCTCACCAACAGGAAATGGTTAAACATTTTGTGGTTTCTTATACACTGAAATACCATACCACAATTAAGGTGATAAACTCTCTATATACTAACATGGAAAGAATTCAAGTAGGTAAGGCTGATAAGGAAAGCTGATAAAACAGAACTTTAATTTTTTTTAATCATTATTAGAACTGAAAGTTTACACACGCTAAACTCATGAATAGCTGCTTCTAGGAGAGGAAGGTAATATGCCCAGGAAAGGAAATGCAATAGTGTTCAATTCATGTAAATAGTGTGCTTTTTCTTTTTATGTCTTATTTACACATTTACGCACACAAACACATATATATCTGAAGCAAATATTAATATGTAAATTCTCAAGGGTGATATCCAGGATTGTGCTATAATATCTCAATTTGTTTCAACCATTGTGGAAGTCAGTGTGGCAATTCCTCAGGGATCTAGAACTAGAACTACCATTTGATCCAGCCATCCCATTACTGGGTATATACCCAAAGGATTATAAATCATGCTGCTATAAAGACACATGCACACATATGTTTATTGAGGCACTATTCACAATAGCAAAGACTTGGAACCAACCCAAATGTCCAACAACGATAGACTGGATTAAGAAAATGTGGCACATATACACCATGGAATACTATGCAGCCATAAAAAATGATGAGTTCATGTCCTTTGTAGGGACATGGATGAAGCTGGAAACCATCATTCTCAGCAAACTATCGCAAGGACAAAAAACCAAACACTGCATGTTCTCACTCATAGGTGGGAATTGAACAATGAGAACACATGGACACAGGAAGGGGAACATCACACACCGGGGACTGTTGTGGGGAGGGGGGAGGGATAGCATTAGGAGAGATACCTAATGCTAAATGACTAGTTAATGGGTGTAGCACACCAACATGGCACATGTATACATATGTAACAAACCTGCACGTTGTGCACATGAACCCTAAAACTTAGAGTATAATAAAATTTTTTTTTTAAATCTCAATTTGTGTTGTTCACCAAGTTACCCAACCTTTCTGTGGTTTTGTTTCTTCATCTGTAAAATGGGAATAACAGAATAACACTCTTAAGAGTGTTAGAATGATTAATAAAAGGCATTTAGTCTGACACAAATACATTCTATATACAGCTTTATCAATATCTGATGATAAATTAAGCTTGTTATGATTATAAACTATATTAAAAATATAGTATTGACTGCTTTTCATTCAAATTTATGACCATAAATTTCAAACTGATGCTCAACAATGCCCTATAATCATACTACACTTTACTAATGTTTGAGTTCTTCCACTCTCCTAAATAGCTACTGCATACCTTTTTTTCTCTTCAGATCTGACAGTCCTCTCCTCTACCACCTGCTTCAGCTGATGATCTTGCCACAACAAGAAAATTGAAACAACTGGACACCTCCACTTACCCTCCACCCAACAGCTACATCTGTACTCACTTGCTCTGCCTTCCTTCTTTTTAGAATGGATAAATTGACCCAGCTACCACAATTTCTGCAATTACACTCTGGATAGCATCTTTTGTGCTTAATATTCCAGGGTTTCACTTTTATAACCAGACCTTCTCCAAACATCATTAATTTCCCCTTCTAGCCTGAATTATTCCCATCAGCAAATAAATATGTTATATTATCCATCATTTATTTATTTATTTATTCATTTATTTATTTATTTATTTTTGAGAGGGAGTCTCACTCTGTTGCCCAGGCTGGAGTGCAACGGTGCGGTCTCAGCTCACTGTAAGCTCTCCCTCCCAGGGTCAAGCAATTCTCCTGCCTCAGCCTCCCGAGCAGCTGGGACTACAGGCGCGTGCCACCACACCCGGCTAATTTTTGTATTTTTAGTAGAGACGGAGTTTCACCATGTTGGCCAGGTTGGTCTTGAACTTCTGACCTCAGGTGATCTGCCCGCCTCAGCTTCCCAAAGTGCTGGAATTACAAGCGTAAGCCACCATGCCCAGCCAATATTATCCATCTTTAAAAACCAAAACACCTCTCCCTCCAGCTACCATCTCTTTTTCATTCAAAGTGAAATTTTTCAAAAAGTTGTTTACATTTGTCCCTGTATCTTAATCTCTCCACAACCTAGTCTCTTCAGGAAGACTGACAAATTAAACACAGATTTTTAAAGTTTATAAAAACACATACAGTGGCAATTTATCAACTGAATAATCATTAGAATTTATAAAGGATCATTATATAAGACATAAGTGATTAAGATATATATATTCCTAAAAAACTGGTAGCCTAAAATTTAGGAACAACTTTAAGTAAATATCATCCTCTGAGAGGATAAAAGCATATATACCACGACTTCAGAACACCTTATTAAGTTTGGGAAGACCACAAGTTTTCATCAAAGAGATCAAAATGAGCCTTAAGACAAACTATAATTCTACTAAATCAGTCTTGTCTGAAAAAACTGTTCAGAATGTAGGACAATGGTCAGCATAAATGTCTATGAATCAGAGTCAGTGAAGTAAAAATCTACGCCTATGCATTCAAAGCTATCCAAGGTATTTTGATCTGCTTAGCACACTTTTGTTTCCCAAGGAAAGAGTCAAAACTGTTCTCATCAATTTAGCTGTACACTATATGTCTCTTATTTGTTCAGCTCTTTAAGAAAAAGAGTTTTTAAACATGCCAGGCTAGCAACCACACTTAACTCATGATTACACCACCAAGGTATGGTTGCTTAGTCTCTTTGCTATGCTTACATAAAATATATTATCCAAATCAGTAAAAGATAAGCACCAACAAAAATAAGGAGAAACCACATACACACTCCTTGTTCTTTTAAACAATGAAAACTAGGAATACTAAAGCTCAAAAGGGTACGAAGGAGGGCGTGGTGGCTCACGTCTGTAATCCCAGCACTTTGGGAGGCCAAGGTGGGAGGATTGCTTGAGCCAAGGATTTCGAAACCTGCCTGGGCAACATAGTGAGGCCCCGTCTCTACAGAAAATTTAAAAATTAGGCATTAGTGGTGCATGCCTATAGTCCCAGCCACTTGGGAGGCTAAAGCAGGAGGATCACTTGGGCCCAGGAGGTCGAGGCTGTAGTAAGCTGTGTTCATGCCACTGCACTCCAGCCTGGATGACAGAGTGAGATTCTGTCTCAAAACAAAACAAAATAATAAAGAAAATTAAATAAATTTTAACTGACAAAATTCAATAAGATTAAAAATTCTGTTTCTCAAGTTGTACTAGACACATTAGGTATTTACTAGCCACATGTGCCTAGTGGCTACTGTACTGGACAGTATAGATATAAAACATTTCTATTATTACAGAAAGCTCTATTGGACAGAGCTGTTGTAGAAAAAGATCTGTTTCAGTATTACATTCATTTCATTATATTAACTCATCATTGAAATACATAACTACACCTTTTTAATAATTTATCTTTTATCCCAACATCTTGAATAAGATGTTCAGTAGAAATTCTTGTAAAAATGAAACAAACTATAGCACATAGATCCTAAAAATATATTTAGAACAAAAAATATAGAGTTAACATTTTAATTCCTTCTCCTTGTGAAAGCTACTAACCCACTGTATCTCTCTATCTAAATATATGCCAACAATTTTCAAACTATATATCCCAACCTGAGCTACAGTAGAAGTAGTTATCAATCAGCACCATAAGACAGGGAAATAAATAAATAAATGTATGTAGTCATCTACAGCAGGGGTCCCTAACCCCTGGGCTGCGGGCCAGTACCTTTCCGCGGGCTGTTAGGAACTGTTTGCACAGCAGGAGGTGAGGAGGGCAAGCGAGCATTACCACCTAAGCTCCACCTCCTGTCAGCTGAGGCATTCTATTCTCATAGAAGCGCAAACCCTACTGTGAACTGCGCATGTGAGGGATCTAGCCTGTGCATTCCTTATGAGAATCTAACTAATGCCTGATGATCTGAAGTGAACACTTTCATCCCGAAACCATCCTCCTCCCTGCAACCTCCATGGAAAAACTGGGCTCCATGAAACCAGTCCCTGATGCCAAAAAGGTTAGGGACTGCTGATCTACAGGATAGTGACATTATCTACTTAATAAATTATGATACCTCACTTTCATTTCTAAAAGTGAAGACAAAACAAGCCAACACATACAACTTGAAAGTTTTTATGAGAATCACCTTTGTTACAGTTAACCCTGGCAAAAGAATTACATGGACAATTTAAACTACTTTCTTACCAAGTCTCTTTGATCTGTAATGTTCTCATTCTAAATATGAAAACACTTTTGTGTTTTTTCTTAACAACTGAAGCGCTGAGCAAGGTAAGTCACATTGATAAATTTTTGTTGCAGGTTAGTATTTATAAAGAATTTATAATGAACTGGTTATTCCCAGGACATATTTCTGTTAAAATTTTAATTGTGATTACTATATGATATGTGAATATTATCAACTCACTTACATTATTCAAGAACATTTTTTCTGCTAAAATTATAAATAAGTTTTCTAATTAAACTTATGAAAAACCAAACTGAAAACTATCCCTTTATCTGAGTGTTAGTTATATCACTGTGCTCAAATTGTGAAAAAAAATCACATTATATGCTTAATATTTGTACTTCCCTGTATGTGTATGATATACAATAAGATTTTTACTTTTTTATTTTAAAATAGATTCACAGAAAGATGCAAAAATACTACAGAGAGATCCTGCACACCCTTTACTCAATGTTTACGTCTTTCATAACTATAGTGTATTGTAACAGCCAGAAAACTGACATTGGTACAACTCGTGTCTAGTTCTATGACATTTTACAGCATATGTAGATTTATGTAATCACTACCACTCTCAAGATACAGAATTATTGTGCCACCAAAAACACCTCCCTCGTGCCACCCCTTTACAGTCATACCCACTCCCCTCCCCACTACTGTCTCAAACTCTTGAATCCACCAATCTGTTTTCTGTTTCTATACCGTCATTTCAAGAATGTTATATATGGCCGGGCACAGTGGCTCACGCCTGTAATCCCAGCACTTTGGGAGGCCGAGGTGGGTGGATCACTTGAGGTCAGAAGTTCGAGACCAGCCTGGCTAAAATGGCAAAACCCTGTCTCTACTAAAAATTTTAAAATTAGCCTGGCCGGGCATGGTGGTGTGTGCCTGAAGTCCCAGCTACTCAGGAGGCTGAGGCTGAAGGACAGTTTGAACCCAGGAGGCAGAGGTTGCAGTGAGCCGAGATTACACCACAGCACTCCAGCCTGGGTGACAGAGTGAGACTCCATCTCGAAAAAAAAAAGAATGTTATATACATGGAATAACACAGTATGTAAACTTTTGAGACTGGTTTTCTTCACTCAACCATTGAGATACATCCAAATTGTTGCATGTATCAATAGTTTATTATTTATAGTTTGATTCCATTGTGATCAAAGAACATACTGTATATTATTTCACTTCTTTTAAATGTGTTGAGGTTTGTTTTATGGCCCAGGATACAATCTGTCTTGTAAAATGTTCCACTGCTACTTTAAAAACACGTGTATTCTGCTGCTGTTGGGTAACTTGTTCTATAAATGTCAGTTAGGTCTTGTTGGTTGAGGGCACTGTTCAGTTCTTCTATATACTTGCTGAATTTTCTCTTCAGTTGTTCCATCAATTGCCGAGAGAGGGGTGTTGAAGTCTCCAATTATAACTGGATTTGTCTTTGTTCCTCTCAGTGCTATCAGTTTTTGTTTCCCATACTTTGTAGCTGCTGTTGGCATACACACATTTAACATTTGCTATATCTTCTTGACCTCATTTTCTTTCGATTAATGTTTGCATGGTGTATCTTTTCTATCCTTTTACTTTCCACCTACTTATACTATTATATTCGAATGAGTTTCTTATGGAGTTATATGGTTATGTCACTATATAATATATAAGGTCCAAAGAAATGAAACAAGTTTTAAAAATCACACTAAAAGCCAGGCACGATGGCTCGTGCCTGTAATCCCCCACTATTCAGGAGGCTGAGGAGGGAGGACCACCTGAGGCCAAGAGTTTGACACCAGACTGGGTAACACAGCAAAAACCTGTCTCCAAAAACAATTTAAAATAAAATAAAAATTACCCAGGCATTGTGGCATGTGCTTACAGTCCCAGTTACTTGGGAGGCTGAGAGGGGAGGATTGCTTGAGATCAGGAGTTCAAGGCTACAGTGAGCTATAATCACACCACAGCACTCTAGCTGGGTGACAAAGTGAGAACCTGTCTCTAAAAAAATTTTTTAATAAATTTTTAAAATCACACTAAAAGATAAAGGAGTGAAAACCAGAAAGCAAATTTCTTGATTTCCAGTCCAAATGCTTTTTCACCTAAGCCAGTCTTGTTCTAAACATGCAAACTAATTAAAAGCACATATAAGAATGTTAGATGAACAGATACATTGTAGACTGTTCAACACTGTACAAAACTTTGTACACATACTATGCTTCAGCAGAATTAGCTCTTTCCTAATAAGGTAGCCAAATTTGTGTACTAACCTTTAATAACCACAGAGTTTTAAAAGAAAACTTAAAAGTTTTAAAATCCTTATTAGTTTATAAGATTGAGTCTGCTACTGAAAATAATGAGAATAAAGTGTTGATTACTTGAAGAAACTAGGTGTATACTTGCTAATAAAACCTTTAAGTAATAAGAATGTTTGGATCAAAACCACAATGAGATTCCACCTCACACTAGTCAGAATGGCTACTATTAAAAAGTCAAAATAACAGATGTTGCCAAGGTTGTAGAGAAAAGGGAATGCTTATACACTGTTGGAGGGAATGTAAATTATTAGGCCACTGTGGAAATCAGTTTGAAGATTTCTCAAAGAACTTAAAACAGAACTACCATTTGACCCAGCAATCCCATTACTGGGTATATATCCAAAAGAAACTAAGTCGTTCTACAAAAAAGGCACAAGCACTCATGTTTATCGTAACACTATTCACAACAGCAAAGACATGAAATCAACCCAGATACCCACCAACGGTGGACTGGATAAAGAAAATGCAGTACATATACACCATAGAATACTACACAGCCATAAGAAAGAATAAAATTATGTCCTTTGCAACAACATGGATGCAGCTGGAAGCCATTATCCTAAGTGAATTAATGCAGAAATATAAAACTAACACATTCTTACTTGTAAGTGGTAGCTAAACACTGGGTACACATGGATATAAAGATGATAACAAGAGACACTGGGGACTACCAGAGTAGAGCGAGGAGAGACAAAGGGAGGCAAGGGCTGAAAAACTGTGGGTACTATGCTCACTTTCTGGGTGATGAATTCAGTCACGCCCCAAACTTCAGTATCATGCAATATACCCATGTAACAAACCTGCACATGTACCCTGTGAATCTCAAATAAAAGATAACATTATTAAAATATTTTTTAAAAGAATGTCTGGAATAGGGCATATGAGAAAAGAGATAAGTTAGAGCAGTTTTTTCTGACTATATAAGCTAAGTAAAGTTTTCTCCTTTTTCAAAGTATTTAACGGTGCAAAAATAAATGATTCCTTGTAAATATGGAACTATTTAAAATCATTTCTGCTAACTCATCTTAAGTCAATGGAAATCTAAAACACTTCTTCCAAGTAGAAACATGTTAAGAAAATATATACATTTTATAAATTATGCCTAACAGACTAAATGACAGATAATCTCAAATGCAGAATCCATATTCTTCAGAAACTTAGTTATTTTAGTTGTCATATTTTTTTAACATAAGTATTTTAAACTAAAATATTTTAAAATTTAAGAAAAATCTTAAAGACAATTATTAGTGAGAAGGACTCTTCATGAGTCCCAATAAGTCAACCTTACATAAAAGAGAGGCAGATTACTTTAGAATATCACCATCTCTGTTTTACAGAAGTCACTATTTTGTTTGTTTTTTTGTGGAGACAGAATCTCACTATTTTGGCCAGCTTGCTCCAGAACTCCTGGCCTCAAGCAATCCTCCTACCTCATCCTCCCAAAGTGCTAGGATTACAGGCATGAGCCACTGCACCCAGCCAGAAGACCATATTTTGAAAGAGAGAAAACCATGACAGGTAAAATTTATTGCTCAAGGTTACACAAAAAAGTAATAGCAATGATAAGGTTTAAAAAGCCTAGGCCAGGTGTGGTGGCTCACACCTGTAATCACAGCACTTTGGGAGGCCAAGGCAGGTGGATCACCTGAGGTCAGGAGTTCGAGACAAGCCTGGCCAACATGGTGAAACCCCGTCTCTACTAAAAATACAAATATTAGCTGGGCATGGTGGCACATGCCCTGTAATCCCGGGTACTCGGGAGGATGAGGCAGGAGAATCGCTTGAACCCGGGAGGCAGAGGTTGCAGTGAGCTGAGATGGCACCATTGCACCCCAGCCTGGATGACAAAGGTGAAACTCCACTTCAAAAAAAAAAAGCCTAAGTCCCCTCATTCATTATCATTTCGTTAACTGAAACACAACATAAAAGAAAAGAACCCTGAAATCTGTTCAGTGACCATTTTTTTATTTTTTTTTTGAGAGAGTCTCTCTCTGTTGCCAGACTAGAGTGCAGTGGCGCAATCTCGGCTCACTGCAACCTCTGTCTCCCAGGTTCAAGCAATTCTCCTGCCTCAGCCTCCCGAGTAGCTGAGATTACAGGCGCCTGCCACCACACCCAGCTAATTTTTGTATTTTTTGTAGGAACAGGGTTTTGCCATGTTAGCCAGGCTGGTCTTGAACTCCTGGCCTCAGGTGATCCACCTGCCTTGGCCTCCCAAAGTGCTGGGATCACAGGCATGAGCCACCACACCCGGCCTGTTCAGTGACTATTTAAATGGCATGTACCAATATACCAAGAGCAAACATAGAATATTTTTTAACTTTAGGTAGGAATGAAGCTAACTGAGAAATACATTTATCAGCATTACTCTAATTCATGCTAGAGCCTCAGGAGTCATTTAGCCCTTCTCACTCATCATAAATTTTGGAACAATACTGAAAATTCCTTTACTGTGTCTGTAGAATTACCCTTGTCTATGACATTGAGATTATAGTTGACACAGGTTGGCCCTCTGTCAAACCACAGGGATCAGGTTCATTATTTGGAGATACTCTGTAGAATGGACCATATCTCTTCTATGAAGGTATCAATTTAGAAGCTCACAAATGATTGAAAAGTACGGAGACCAGGTTCCATTTCTAGTATGGTAGAGTAAATTCAGACTGACTCTCCTACACATAAGTATAAACTCCAGACAATATGCAAAAAAATAACTGCCTGAAGCGCTTAAGCATCAACAAAAGCAGGAGGACTTAGAAAAGAAGAGAGAGCTTGGAAGAAGAAAGGAGTAACAACCGGGTATGGGGTGAGTTTTCCATTTTTATGTTTTAGCCTGATAGAAGACCACAGTGAGTTGCAGCACACAGCAGTCAAAACTCGATAAAACTTTCTTGCCTGAAGAACAAGTACACAGAGCCCAAGCCTGAGGCAATGGGATTGGGATATCCTAGAAAGGAGAAAGCCGCAAAGGTAGAGCCCAATATTCTGGGTACAATCTCTGCCCAAGTCTATGGCTGACTCCAGAGCAACACATGTGTATGGCAAATTTAAGCAGTTTTCAGCTAAGGCAAAAATAACTGAACTAATATTTGAGCTGTTCCCCACCACAGAAGGGAAAAGGCTGCAGTCTGAGCCCATCCAAGTTAATGGTCTTCTACAGCAAGACCAGTAACACTCTTAGAGGAATAGAATAGAATCCAGAATTGCCACAATGTCTAGTATCCAATACAAACTCATCAAGAAAGAGAATGTGACCCATCCTTAAGGGAAAATATCATCACTAGAGGCCAACCTCAAGATGACCCTGATGTTAGAATTACCATACAATGACTTTAAAGCAGTTATTATAAAACTAATATACTCAATGGTTTAAAAAAAATGCTTATAATGAATAAAAAGATAAAAAACTCAGCAGATAAATCAAATTATAAAAAGGAACCAAATGGTAATTTTAGACCTGAAAAATATATCTAAAATAAAACTTTTACTAGATAAGCTTAATAACAGAATGGAGATGACAAGGAAAGAGTCAGTAAACCTGAAGATAGATCACAAGAAATTGTTGATTCCCAGGCAAGACGTCGAAATAGGAACAGCTCCGGTCTTCAGCTCCCAGTGAGGCCAAAGCAGAAGGCGGGTGATGTCTTCATTTCCAACTGAGGTACCTGGTTCATCTCACTGGGACTGGTTAGAGAGCGGGTGCAGTCCACGGACTGCAAGCAGAAGCAGGGTGGGCGTCACCTCACCTGGGAAGCACAAGCGTTCAGGAAATTTCCTCCCCTAGCCAAGAGAAGCCATGAGGGACTGTGCCGTGAAGGACCAAGCAAAAACTCCATCCGAAGGTCATCAACAGCAAAGACCAATGGTAAATAAATCCAGGAAGATGAGGAAAAACCAGGCAAAAAGGCTAAAAATTCCAAAAACCAGGATGCCTCGTCTTTCAAAGGATCACAACTCCTTGGCAGCAAGGGAACAAAACTGGACAGACAATGAGTTCGACAAATGGACAGAAGTAGGCTTCAGAAGGTGAGTAATAAACTCCGCCAAGCTAAAGGAGCATATTCTAACCTAATGCAAGGAAGCTAAGAACATTGATAAAAGGTTAGAGGAATTGCAAACTGGAAAAACCAATTTCGAGAAGAACATAAATGACCTGATGCAGCCAAAAAACACAACACGAGAACTTCATGAAGCATACACAAGTATCAATATAGCCAAATTGATCAGTCGGAAGAAAGGATATCAGAGATTGAACACTAACTTACTAAAATAAAGCGTGAAGACAAGATTAGAGAAACAAGAATAAAATGGAATGAACAAAGCCTCCAAGAAATATGGGACTATGTGAAAAGACCAAACCTATATTTGATTGGTGTACCTGAAAGTGATCGGGAGAATGGAATCAAGTTGGAAAACTCTCTTCAGGATATTAGCCAGGAGAACTTCCCCAACCTAGCAAGATAGGCCAACATTCAAATTCACGAAATACAAAGACACTCTTCTAGAAGAACAACCCCAAGATACATAATCGTCAGATTCAGCAACATTGAAATGAAGGAAAAAACGTTAAGGGCAGCCAGAGAGAAAGGTCAGGTTAACCACAAAGGGAAGCCCATCAGACTAACAGCGGATCTCTCTGCAGAAACCCTACAAGCCAGAAGAGAATGGGGGCCAATATGCAATATTCTTAAAGAATTTTCAACCCAGAATTTCATATCCAGCCAAACTAAGCTTTATAAGTAAAGGAAAAATAAAATCCTTTACAGAAAAGCAAATGCTTAGGGATTTTGGCTCCACCAGGCCTGCCTTACAAGGGCTCCTGAAGGAAGCACTAAATATGGAAGGGAAAAACCGCTACCAGCCACTGCAAAAACACAACAAAACGTAAAAGACCATCAACGTGATGAAGAAACTGCATCAACTAATGGGCAAAATAACCAGCTAGCATCATAATAACAGGATCAAATTCACACATAACAATATTAACCTTAAATGTAAATGGGCTAAATGCCCCAATTAAAAGACAGAGAATGGCAAATTGGATAAAGAGTCAAGACCCATCGGTGTACTGTATTCAGGAGACCCATCTCATGTGCATAGACACACATAGGCTCAAAATAAAGGGATGGAGGAAGATTTACCAAGCAAATGGAAAGCAAAAAAAAGCAGGGTTGTAATCCTAGTCTCTGATAAAAAAGACTTGAAACCAACAAAGATCAAAAAGTCAAAGAAGGGCATTACATAATGGTAAAGGGATCAATGCAACACCAAGAGCTAACTACCCTAATTATATATGCACCCAATACATGAGCATGCAGATTCATAAAGCAAGTTCTTAGAGACCTACAAAGAGACTTAGACTCCCACACAATAATAGTGGGAGACTTTGACACCCCACTGTCAATATTAGACAGATCAACGAGACAGAAAATTAACAATATTCAGGACTTGAATTCAGCTCTGGACCAAGCGGACCTAACAGACAACTACAGAACTCTCCACCCCAAATCAACAAAATATACATTTTTCTCAGTGCCACATAGCACTTATTCTAAAATCAACCACATAATTGGAAGTAAATCACTCCTCAGCAAATGCAAAAGGATGGAAATCATAACAGTCCCTCACACCACAGTGCAATCAAATTAGAACTCAGGATTAAGAAATTCACTCAAAACCGCACAGCTACATGGAAACTGAACAACCTGCTCCTGAATGACTACTAGGTAAATAACAAAATTAAGGCAGAAATAAATAAGTTATTTGAAACCAATGAGAACAAAGACACAACATACCAGAATCTCTGGGACACAGCTAAAGCAGTGTTTAGAGGGAAATTTACAGCACTAAAATACCCACAGGAGATCAAGCGGGAAAAATCTAAAATCAACACCCAAACATCACAATTAAAAGAACTACAGAAGTAAGAGCAAACAAAGTAAAAATCTAGCAGAAGACAAGAAATAACTAAGATGAGGGCAGAACTGAAGGAGATAAAGACACAAAAAACCCTTCAAAAAATCCATGAGCTGGTGTTCTGAAAAGATTAACAAAATAAATAGACCACTAGCCAGACTAATAAGGAAGAAAAGAGAGAAGAATCAAATAGATGCAAGGAAAAATGATAAAGGGGATATCACCACTGATCCCACAGAAATACAAACTACCATCAGAGAATACTATAAAGAACTCCATGTGAACAAACTAGAAAATCTAGAAGAAATGGATAAATTCCTGGACACACACACCCTCACAAGACTAAACCAGGAAGAAGTCAAATTCCTGAATAGATCAGTAACAAGTTCTGAAATTGACGTAGTAATTAATAGCCTACCAACCAAAAAAGTCCAGGACCAGATGGATTCACAGCCAAATTCTACCAGAGGTACAAGGAGGAGCTGGTACCATTCCTTCTGAAACTATTCCAATCAACAGAAAAAGAGGGAATCCTCCCTAGCTCATTTTATGAGGTCAGCATCATCCTGATACCAAAACCTGGCAGAGACACAACAAAAAAAGAAAATTTCAGGCCAATATCTCTGATGAACATTGATGCAAAAATCCTCAATAAAATACTGGCAAACCAAATCAAGCAGCACATTAAAAAGCTTACCCACCACGATCAAGTTGGCTTCATCCCTGGGATGCAAGGCTGGTTCAACATATGCAAATTAGTAAACGTAATTCATCACATAAACAGAACCAATGACAAAAACCACATGATTATCTCAATAGATGCAGAAAAGGCCTTTGATAAAATCCAACACCCCTTCATGCTAAAAAAAAAAAAAAAAACTCAATAAACTAGGTAGTGATGGAACATATCTCAAAATAATAAGAGCTATTTATGACAAACTCACAGGCAATATCATACTGAATGGGCAAAAGCTGGAAGAATTCCCTTTGAAAACCAGCACAAGACAAGGATGCCCTCTCTCACCACCCCTATTCAACATAGTATTGGAAGTTCTGGCCAGGGCAATCAGGCAAGAGAAATAAATAAAGGGTATTCATATAGGAAGAGAGGAAGTCAAGTTGTCTCTGTTTGCAGATGACATGATTGTATATTTAGAAAACCCCATCATCTCAGCCCAAACACTCCTTAAGCTAATAAGCAACTTCAGCAAAGTCTCAGGATACAAAATCAATGTGCAAAAATCACAAGCATTCCTATATACCAATAACAGAGAGCCAAATCATGACCAAACTCCCATTCGCAATTACTACAAAGAGAATAAAATATCTAGGAATACAACTTACAAGGGATGTGAAGGACCTCTTCAAGGAGAACTACAAACCACTGCTCAAGGAAATAAGAGAGGACACAAACAAAAGAAGAAACATTCCATGCTCATGGATATGAAGAATCAATATCGTGAAAATGGCCATACTACCCAAAGTAATTTATAGATTCAATGCTATTCCCATCAAGCTACCACTGACTTTCTTCAAAGAATTAGAAAAAACTACTTTAAATTTCATATAGAAGCAAAAAAAAGCCCATATATCCAAGACAATCCTAAGCAAAAAATACAAAGCTGGAGACATCACACCACCTGACTTCAAGCTATACTACAAGGCTACAGTAGCCAAAACAGCATGGTACTGGTACAAAAACAGACATATAGAACAATGGAACAAAACAGAGGCCTCAGAAATAACACAACACATCTACAACCAACTGATCTTTGACAAACCTGACAAAAACAACCAATGGGGAAAGGATTCCCTATTTAATAAATTGCGTTCGGAAAAATGGCTAGCCTTATGCAGAGAACTGAAACTGGACCCCTTCCCTGCACCTTATACAAAAATCAACTCAAGATGGATTAAGGATTTAAATATAAGAACTAAAACCATAAAAACCCTACAAGAAAACCTAGGCAATACCATTCAGGACACAGGCATAGGCAAAGACTTCATGACTAAAACAACAAAAGCAATGGCAACAAAAGCCAAAATTGACACATGAGATATAATTAAACTGAAGAGCTTCTGCACAGCAAAAGAAACTACCATCAGAGTGAACAGGCAACCTACAGAATGGGAGAAAATTTTTGCAATCTATCCATCTGACAAAGGGCTAATATCCACAATCTACAAGCAACTTAAATTTACAAGAAAAAAGCAAACAACCCCAACAAAAAGTGGGCGAAGGATATGAACAGACACTTCTCAAAAGAAGACATTTATGCAGCCAACAAACATATGAAAAAAAGCTCACCATCACTGGTCATTAGAGAAATGCAAATCAAAACCACAATGAGATACCATCTCACGCCAGTCAGAATGGTGATCATTAAAAAGTCAGGAAACTACAGATGCTGCAGAGGATGTGAAGAAATAGGAACGCTTTACACTGTTAGTGGGAGTGTAAGTTAGTTCAACCATTGTGGAAGACAGTGTGGCGATTCCTCAAGCATCTAGAACTAGAAATACCATTTGACCCAGCCATCCCATTACTGGGTATATACCCAAAGGATTATAAATCATTCTACTATAAAGACACATGCACATGTATATTTATTGCGGCACTGTTCATGATAGTAAAGACTTGGAACCAACCCAAATGCCCATCAATGTCAGACTGCATAAAGAAAATGTGGCACATACACACCATGGAATACTAGGCAGCCATAAAAAAGAATGAGTTCATGTCCTTTGCAAGGTACATGGATGAAGCTGGAAACCATCATTCTCAGCAAACTAACACAGGAACAGAAAACCAAACACCGCATGTTCTCACTCATAAGTGGGAGTTGAATAATGAGAACATATGGGCACAGGGAGGGGAACATCACACACCGGGGCCTCTCTGGGGGTGGGGGGCCAGGGGAGGATAGCATTAGGAGAAACACCTAATGTAGATGATGCAGCTGTTGAATGGCAGTTATTATCTTATTTCAAGATATTCTGCTGTGACTCTTCTGGTAAATATATTTATTTTGGTGAGATAAAATGGTCAGTGAAAAAAGACAATTACAAAAGAGGATGAATGGTACAACTGCACAGAGTGATTAAAAGAATTTGAACAGCTATGTGTATAAATGTATACCCAAAAAAATCTCTAAAAGATATATACCTACAACTAAATTCTGGGAAGGACACGCTAAGATGACAAAAGGGATTTTTCACTTCTTTACACATTTCTGTGTTGTTTGGATTTTCTAAAGTAAACATGCATTATTACCTCTACAAGCAACAAAAACAATAAAAACATTCCATTTAGGGAGAAAACAGCTTTCTATAATATGAACAATTATCTCAAATCATTCTGTTTAGATTATTTATCATTGTTGTTTTCAAAAATGTACGATGATTTTTCTTAAGAGAGAACAAACATATACTCCTCCCTTCTTCCATTCCTGTGTATTCCACATCCCAGCTGCCTTTCAAAGAGAAATAATAACTATTGTCTTTACATACCTGGCGGAGGAAACATCATCCTACGGTCCTGGTCCCATGGAGGTGACAGAGACCCAGTGTCAGAGGGAGCCCTATGAGGATCGGTTAACCTATCACAGCTTGATTCTCCTCTTTCATTGGTAATCTGATGGTCCAGAGGATTCCCTGGGCCTCGTGAGCCTAATTAAAGAAAAAAAAACATACAAATCTGTTTCATCTTAAAAAGTCTTATATACTTGTTTTACACATAAAATCAGTGGTTAAATCATAAATTATAAATACAAAGTCTGAAAAATAACAGTGTAGAAAGTAAATTGCTATGATTCCTATGCCTGATGTAACAGGATAATTATAAAGTAATTATAAGAACTGATTAAATAAAAAATATAATATAAAATAAATATAAAATATTTAAAATAAATATAAAATATAATAAATGATTAAATAAAAAGCATAAATGATTTTGTTGCTTAAACTAATATATCAATAGTCCAAATGAGCATGATTCCTTTAAAACAGTCATCTTAGCAGTTCTATATCTATTCTACTAATTTTGCTACTAAAGTATTTTTCAGAAAAACTCTTTTGGAAATGTACTCAGTTTAACTTAAGAGCCATGTAAAAAACTGCATCTCAAAGTTAAAACATGACTCTCTACTTCTGCCCAAATTCACTGAATAGTGTTACGAGTCAATGAGAAGATAAAAAAGATAAATACTTCTGCCCCAAAATGATTTTAAATAGCCTGATTTAAAACATTATGTACAACAGATAAACTGGCACTAGATGGCTTTTAGTGATTTCTAAATATCAAATTCACATTCAAAAGAAGAATTCATAAGTTCTGAAGACAAGTCTAAAACGATAGTTTCAAAAACAACAGCACTGTTGAAATAATCACTTTAAATGAGCTAACATTCTTTTGGATAAGAAAATCTAGTATATTTACATTTACAAACAGGAGTAATTTTAAAGTTCCCTTCTTACGACCACAGAAAAGATAGTACCTTAATTAAAAACCCATATACAGGGCTGGACGCAGTGGCCCATGCCTGTAATCCCAGCACTTTGGGAGGTCGAGGAGGGTGGACCACCTGAGATCAGGAATTTGAGACAAGCCTGGCCAACATGGTGAAACCCTGTCTCTACTAAAAGTACAAAAGTTAGCCAGGCATGGTGGCAGGTGCCTGTAATCCCAGCTACTAGGGAGGCTGAGGCAGAAGAATGGCTTGAACTCAGGAGGTGGAGGTTGCAGTGAGCCAAGATCGTGCCACTGCACTCCAGCCTGGGTGACAGAGTGAGACTCCATCTCAAAAAAAAACAAAAAACAAAACCCATATTCAACTAAAATGGAAAAGACAAATATAAAAAAATTTTGGCCAGGCGCGGTGGCTCACACCTGTAATCCCAGCACTTTGGGAGGTCAAGGCGGGCGGGTCACAAGGTCAGGAGATCGAGACCATCCTGGCTAACAAGGTGAAACCCCATCTCTACTAAAAATACAAAAAATTAGCCGGGCATGGTGGCAGGCGCCTGTAGTCCCAGCTACTCAGGAGGCTGAGGCAGAAGAATGGCTTGAACTCAGGAGGAGGAGGTTGCAGTGAGCCAAGATCATGCCACTGCACACCAGTCTGGGGGATAGAGCGAGACTCCATCTCAAAAAAAAAAAAAAAAAAATTTAACATTCAATAAAATATATTAATACCTCATTTATCTGTCATTGAGAGGGAAAAGGGGGGTCTTCTCAAAATTATATTGTCCAGAAAACAAAAGCTTATTATTCTCAAGGAACAGCTTTAAAAACATTTTTTTTTTTGAGACAAGGTCTCACTCACTCTGTTACCCAGACTGGAGTGCAGTGGTGCGATTCTCAGCTCACTGCAACCTCCGCCTCCTAGGCTCAAGCAATTCTCCCACCTCAGCCTTACAAGTAGCTGGGACAACAGGCATGTGCCACCACGCTTTGTTAATTGTTGTATTTTTTGTAGATACAGGGTTTTGCCATGTTGCCCAGGCTGGTCTTGAACTCCTGGGCTCAAACAATCCCACCACCTTGACCTCCCAAAGTACTAGGATTATAGTTGTAAGCCACTGCACCCAGTGAACAATTTTTTTTCAATAGAAGCCTAACTAAAATAGCCAGGCGTGATGGCTCATGCCTGTAATCCTAGCACTCTGGGAGGCCGAGGTGGGCGGATCACCTGAGGTGAGGAGTTCGAAACCAGCCTGGCCAACATGGTGAAACCCCATCTCTACTGAAAATACAAAAATTAGCTGGGTACAGTGGCACGTGCCTGTAATCCCAGCTACTCGGGAAGCTAAGGAACAAGAATCATTTGAACCTGAGAGGAAGGGGTTGCAGTGAACCGAGATCGTGCCACTGCACTCCAGCCTGGGCAACACAGTGAGACTATCTCAAAAAAAAAAAATAAAAAAAAAAGAAGTCTAACAAAAATGCTTACTCTATTTCAGTACCTCCTTTAAGAGAACAAAATTAATTTTAACTTTTCTTGGTAACTTGTACAAATCAGCATAAGCATTCACATTTAATATATAGTAATCTTTAAAACAAATTTTCCATCTACTCCCTTTAGTAGAATCAGATCAACTGGCTTTTACATCAGGAGGTAAACTATCATTTTTCCTTATTAGTATACATTCTATTAAGTTCCCCAAATCTTTCCTTCTCGCTTCTTCATCCTAATAATTAGCTCATTAGAAGAAGAAGGCTGGGAAAGCAGAAAATGTGCAAGTCGTCATTTAGGCTGAGTTCATCTGGAATGAAGCACAGAGATTTAAAGGAGACATTCAGAGGCTTTCCTTCCTGATTGCTTACTTCCAGAAGACCAAAGCTACAGGCCAACTGACTACCCAGTGAATATTACAAACCTAAAAGTTCTAATGGTTAAAGTTTTCTATTCAAACCCAGTTACATACAATTTACTCTAAGAAGAAATTGTTTTACTTGTACTCAGTATTATTCAAATATACCACTCATCCAAACTTCAAATTAAAAAGATAATAAAAGTAAGGAAAAATAACAGGTACTCTCCATCCTCCTTTGGTGGATCATAGAAACTTTTAGTTCGGATCAACTCTGTAAGACCCGATGACAACTTACCTAGAACTTCTGTAGCTTTTTAAACAAATGGTAAAACACCCTTGCAGATAATCTAAACACACTGTATCTTTAAATTAAATAGGAGAGGAAATAGAAGAGGAGAAATCAAATGTAAATTTTAATCATTCCAAATATTCAATTGACTACAAGCAATCCTTGACTTATGTAATTCAATTTCCAGTGACTCATATTTGCAGTTTAGCCAATTATACCCTTATTTCTAGGGCACTGTTTTTTCAGACTGCTAGCTCCTACTCATTTGTGATGTGTGAAGTTTAAAAAATAATGCTAATTAAGATTAAATTAATGAAACGGGATAAAATTGAATAGAAAGCATCAAAACTGTAATGGCAAGTACTATTTCATGTAGCGGTTTCAATTATATTTCAATCATGTTTATGTTAGTGTACAATATGACATGATACAAAATACATTTCTTAGTGTAAGCCAAGGTAAAAAATGGAGGGGTGGGGGTGGACTTAGAGAACTAAGTCATAAGCTTGCAGCAGACATGTCAATGTCAAAATCAGTCTCTTTCCTGAAGTGCTCAATGCAAAGCCTCCCTAAGGCTCTAAGTATCAGTCTATAGGGCAGTCCCTTTCCCTAGGAGCTTCCAGTTCAAAATCAACACAAGCAGAGGCTCTGTAGGGACCCCAGGCTGTGGCCCAATCTACTGGGGGGACTGGGAGGTGGACAGGAACAGTTCTAAGTGAAGCAAAATGAGGGTGGAGAAAGAGGATACAAACAGGATATGGGCAAAGGGAGAATATCTCATGACCATACAGTAGTAAGTTGATTTTCTCATATTATTTGAAAGCAATTCCAAAGGAAGAGTTCCAAAAATATGTGGAGTAATGGCAGCTTCAACTAACAAGTACACAGACTTCCTGAGATACTATTTAGATGAGTAATACCCATCTGAGTATATGAACTTTGATTTGTTGGATTTAATTTGGTGTTTTTATTTAGATTCATTACTTTATGTTCCTATCTCAAATTCAATCTGTTAAAATCACTGATACAAAGGGTGGGAATGTTTCACTGGTGAAGAATGCCATCAGCTCTTATAAAACACATACTTGGAACTGAAAATGTAAGACTTTTGATTTTGAAATAAATAAGGCCCTATATCTTTGAATTTCGCCACAAATTAAGATAAAACTTTAAAGGAACTTGACAAAGAAAGTATGGTGAGAGATCAAAAAAGGAAAACTCCAGGTACACAGGAGTTTTCAAAGGTACTAGGGCCTTTTGTAACACCAGGGTGATGCTGATGAGATAAATGTAGAATAGCTAATGATTAGGCCTGAGGTACCTATAAGGGGGTAACAGCAGACAATTGTGGCTTGGTTTCCCAATGTACTTTTTTTTTTTTTTTTTTTTGAGACGGAGTCTCGCTCTGTTGCCAGGCTGGAGTGCAGTGGCACTATCTCGGCTCACTGCAATCTCCGTCCCCCGGGTTCAAGCAATTCTCCTGCTTCAGCCTCCCAAGTAGCTGGGACTACAGGCGCCCACCACCACACCCAGCTGATTTCTGTATTTTTAGTAGAGACAGGGTTTCACCATGTTGGCCAGGATGGTCTTGATCTCTTGACCTCATGATCTGCCCCCGTCGGCCTCCCAAAATACTGGGATTACAGGCATGAGCCACCACGCCCAGCCCCCAGTGTGTTAACAAATGATGCAGACCACAGTAAAGGTTCCCATCAAAAATCTGCCTACAAGAGCACTACTGATTTCCTTGAGTCTATAAAAAGATTATTTCACTTTCTAATTTTCTACAATAAAAAGATCATGATACTAATGTAAATTTTTTTAATTCCAAATTCTAATGCTTCATCAAAATATAATTTTATGGTGTTTCACACTTGTAATCCCAGCACTTTGGGAGGCTGAGGCGGGTGGATCACCTAAGGTCAGGAGTTCGAGACCAGCCTGGCCAGCCAATGTGGCAAAACAACCTTTTGTATTTTCTACTAAAAATACAAAAAAAAATTAGCCAGGTGTGGTGGCATGTGCCTGTAATCCCAGCTACTCAGGAGGCTGAGGCAGGAGAATCCAAGCTACCTGGGAGGCAGAGGTTGCAGTGAGCCGAGATCGCGCCACTGCATTCCAGCCTGAGCAACAAGAGTGAAAACAGTCTCCAAAAAAAAAAAAAAATTACATATATATACATACACATAGATAATTTTTATGCTAGGTTATACTGTTATTATATTTCATGCAGTCTTACAAAATTTTATATTATATCATGTAATATATAGTTTTTAAGAAGTCAAAAATATGGTTTAAAAAGATACGTTATCAGGCTAGGCGTGGTGGCTCACGCCTGTAATCCCAGCACTTTGGGAGGCCGAGGAGGGTGGATCACGAGGTCAGGAGATCGAGACCATCCTGGCTAACATGGTGAAACCCCGTCTCTACTAAAAATACAAAAAAAAATTAGCCGGGCATGGTGGCGGGCGCCTGTAGTCCCAGCTACTCGGGAGGCTGAGGCAGGAGAATGGCGTGAACCTGGGAGGTGGAGCCTGCAATGAGCCAAGATCGCGCCACTGCACTCCAGCCTGGGTGAAAGAGCAAGACTCCATCTCAAAAAATAAAAATTAAAATTAAAAAGAAAAATAAATAAAAAGATACACATCAAGTCCTTGATCAAAATGTTATCTAATATAGCACGGTTTCTAAGAGAAAAATACATCAAAATTAGATGTCATAGAGCTCCTTTTCCAAATAAAAGTTATCTACAGTAAGTGCAAGGAATGCCTGTATTTTCCAAATATTTTACAGATCATTTTTAAGGTAAGTTGAGATGAAAATATAAAGTAAGGAAGAAATCTAGAGTAATAAAGATGTTTAAACAATATACCTCTTCCTCCTCCCCCTGGAAGCAAAGGTGAGAGTCTGAGTGGACCCTCCAACAAAGTTGGAGGAGAGAGAAAAGCTCTTGTTTCAGATGAAGGCCAACCCAATGGTGAGGGACCATATGGGGAATGCTCTGGAATAATTAAAACAGCATATTTAAATTCATAGTTTCACTTAGCTACACTACAGAGTTAGAATCCCATTTCGACAATTACCATCAGGTCATCCTATTGCCAATTTAAGTTTAATCTATGTCCTGAATGTATCCTTTGATTTTGCTAATATAGAACAGAATTAAATACAGACCCTGGTGTTTTCGATATTTGTCTATCAAATAGACACTTTAAGCAATAAAAACATCAACGAACTGGGAATAAAAAGATCATGATAAATAATCATTTATATTAAGCAAAGGATATTGGAGATATATCTTAGAGTTATAGGAGCATAAAGTTAGATTTTTTTTTGGTTTGTTTTTACTGGCAGTATGCACCCAGACATTTCAGCTGGTGAGAGTTGCAACATAGAAGTACTCAGTTTAAATCAGGGCCAGATAGGCTGTATTGGGCCATGAATTGTTTAAATAATGCTCAGATTATGAAGAGGAGAAAAATGCATAAAATACTCTGAAGCAAGATCACAATTTACTTTTGATTCATTACCAGTAAAAAGTCAGCTTACAAATACTAATTTATCAACTAAATCACTTTATCTATAATCTATACAGCCAAGACACCTACCACTTTACAAACTTCACCACTCTCAAATAATGGTTTTGTTTCCAAAGTCAAAAATCAAAAACAAAATACAAACAAAAACCACCAAAATAACATTTTTAAAACATGTTAAATTTAAAACATGAGTGTAGCTGGTATAATATTCAAACCAGCTACAAGAAAAGATCAAAGCATTAGTTACCCTTCTTGAAATTTTGTGTTGGATTCAGACAAAAAAAAATCCTTCTATATACTTCACCCCAATCCAAACTTTGTTACTACCTGAAATTCGTAATAATCTAATATTTTTTAAATGTAGAAACAGACTTTCATTTTAATGAAATTTTACTCTCAAAAGTGATTTTTATAACTTTCCAAGGTTATTAAAATGGAATTCTACCTATATATAGATTTTTCAGTACCTTAGAAGCTTAATTCCAATTCAACCAAAATTATTATGAAAAAATTTAAACTGTTTGCAATAGTTTGAGATCACTGCAGACCCTAACTCAACAATGGACAGAAATATTAAATATATCTTACAAAAAAAATTGGTCCTCCCTTGAGGGTAATTAAAGCAATCAAACCTCAGACTGAGTTTTTCCCACATTTTAAATTGATACTTTTAAATAATTAGAAACTATTTTTTAATTATTAAACAAGCAAATTCCAAAGTATAGTTAATATATAAACAGTCACAATGCTAGTCCATGTAAGCACTCCTTATTCATTCAATCTCACAGAAAATTGTTAATGAGTACCTTACTATGTGCCAAGCACCTAGCTTTTCAAGGAGCTCAAAGTACTAAATATGTATCATCTTACAAAATCCCACTGAGAAATAAAAGCAACAGTAATTTTCATTACTGCACAGGAAACAAAACCTAGAAGCTTGTGAGTCTATGAGAAAGCTTAGTCTAGAACCTTGGTTCTAAAATCTAAAATATTTATATAAATAACAGTGTTAACTTACACTAATAGAAACTATATGTGCAATATATATATATATGTAAAATATGTATTTTAAATGAGGGGTAAAAAAAAAAAGACTACCTCTGCCAAATGCTGTATTTGGAACATCGAGTGCATAAGGATCTTTTTCTAAAAGTTCAAATTTAAGCTCTGTTTCAGTTAATCTGCAAATAAAGAACAAACATCTCTAAGTTACTCATCCAAGAGAAGCACCACAAGAAAAAATGCCTCTACCAACTACAAGCTGCTCTTCACTATTTTAATATCTACACAGAACAAACAGATCCTCTAAAATTATTCTGACCAAAACACCTTTATCTCCCACTGCTTATTAACTAGGGTAATCAGTTTCTTGCTGCCCTAGAGATAGTGATGTTATGTGGAGCCTTACAATTGTTTTATTTCTTCTTCAAAACTAGACTACCATGAGTACTATATCACAGAATCCAAATTTTTGAAATACAAGAGTCCTCCAAGGTCAACCAGTCTATCATTTTACAACTAAGGAAACTGAGGCTAGGAGTTTAAATATTTATTCACAATGAAAGTGCCTGGATTAAGACACAGGGTTCCTGGCTTTGAGTCATGTATGCTTTCCATTGTAACGTGACACTCATGATTCCAGTTACAACACTGGAAATCCCATTAATTTGTCCTACTATCTTACTCGTAAACTTTTTATCCTACAAATGTGACATTTTAAAAGAATCTTATTTCTAGTTCTTAATCATGAGATATAAAACATTTAATAATTTGATTTTAATTTCTGAGACTAGAAAAGACAAGCAAGAGGACTAAAAACTAATATTGGATAATGTTAACAGTACATTGTGACAAGAAATTATAACACTCTAGGAAGACTGTTATCATCTTCACAGAAAAGCACTTATTCTTCCCTGCTATTGTACATTGTAGACTTTTATTCTACCTTTCATTTTATTATTGTAAAACAATGTCACCCAATACTACAAAACCAGGAAATGAGAGAAATTAATGAATATTATCCTATCTACTTATCCATTAAAAGAGGCTGATATTCTGGGCATTACTATGTCAGAGAGATTCACCCCTTCTCTTTCCATCCATTTTTACCTCCATCCATCTACACTGGTTTAAAAAAAATTCTAGTTATACTTTTTGCAGAATAATCTGTTAACAGTTTCCTCCAAGTGCCACTTCAGTGACCTAAGACAAGTACTTCAACAGACAAAACAAACTAGACATTCCTAGTAAAACTAATAGATATCTCACAAGATATGCTGGATTCACTGCAAGTTTTCTTGCTTAACCTTATAAAAGTATTACCTAATTAACGAAATAACAGAATAACTAATTTTAAATGTTCCCACTAAGATACTTACTTTTGTCTGTTGTGAGCATTTTCTTTCCTTAAATCATTGAGGTTTCTTTCAGCATTCCGAGCTGCCAACTTGAAGAAAATAACACATTTTAAAAATATATTTATATAAACTTAAAAAATAAGCATAAATATGTCAATATAAACATTCATTAAATTTCTTAAAAATATATATATATCACAACAATGGTATACAAATCATAATCACTGAAGTAAGAAAAAGTGTAAGACTTAGACTCTGAAAGATCAGAATTTCTATACCCACTCTTTACCCTCTAGTCCATGACCTTCGGCTGTTTCCTCATCCATAAATCTGGGATTATAGTACCAACTTTACAGTTACTGAGTAGATTGAACAAGTAATGTATGTAAAAGGCCTTTAAGTACAGTGCCTAGGACACAAGAGATTTTAATAAACATCCTTTTTGTGTAGTTGAGACTTTATTATCCCCCTACCCTCAAATCTCTAAAGTTGACAGTGTGAGCCATGTCCTTGTCCCCATCCACCCTGGGGTCAAACGTTCAGAGCCTCATGGACTCTAAACTCAGCCAGCCTGGGTTCTATCTGATTGGGTGATTAGTTCATTGAAATGAACACTTTTTCCCTAAAAAACAAGTTAAACTCTGTTACCATGTGACTTTTCAGAAACTAATATGAGCCTCTCCTATTAACTGTCTTCTGCCCAGACCCGTCTGCTCCTGTGGGTAGCTCAGCTCTGGAGCGTGTGACAAGCTACTGCTCAGTGTCACTTTCATTCCCTCTACCAATCCCAATTCAGCTAAAAACACACCTTGTCTGTGGAGCTTCTCCCAAGTGACCTTCCTGATATGTAATTCTTTAGCCTGTGGTTCCTTGGGTTTTCCTGCCTGCCCTGTGCTCTAGAACACGTGAGGACAGATATATCCTAGGTGTCATCTGGCTGTCCCGATCTTTATATCCAACTGCTTAACTGTCTCTTTGTAGCCTCTACCCATGTCATCTGAGATAACCTTTATCTACCTTAGAAGACTTCACTAAATACGCAGCGGTGAGGGAGGGATGTGGAATTGTTACCTCTGGACCTCAGCATATTCCCTTCTTGGCCATTGTTGTTTGTGGTTTTCATTCTAATCTTTACAAGTCAGTGTCTCTGTAAGATCTGTAAGATGTTCCTGCTGCCCTTCCAGAAACAGCCTGGTTACCGTCTTACCCTGGGACTGTGTGTGGACCTCTCCATCTTCAAAGAGTAATCTACACCTAAGTATTTTACAAGTGGTGAGCAGTGGTTAACTAAATTCATCTCCAAGCCCAGCTTAATTTAGTAACAAATTTTCATTTGAACCCTCAATACTAAAGCATACAGAATCTTACAACTGAGGAGGACCTAGACATTCACCACACCTAATCTCTCACCCTAGGCTGGAATCTCCACTCCAACATGTCTAAGAAATACCTACCAAGCTTCACTACAACAATAACAACAGTTAACATTCACTGAATGTATACTGTGTGTCAGGCATTTGGCAACAACCTTACATGAATTTAATCATCACAATAACCCTATGAAATAGGTACTACTGCTATCTCTATCTTACACGTAAGAAAACTGATGATAGGTGATGAAGCCAGGACATGAGCCAAGACAGCCTAATTCCAAACTCCATGTATTCACCCACTGTGCAAACTGCCTACTGCTGAAGACTCCTAGTGACAAGTACTCCAAAGGCCAGCTACTACAACAGTCCTATATGTTACAGTGTCTTTCTTATAATTAGTCAAAATCTGCATCCTCATCACTTCCTCACACAGTTAGTTCCTCTGGAGCACAAATACACTATTTCTCATGATGACCCTTTTCTTAATGTGTACCCAGTAATTCAACACTGAGGATCAGGTAACTGAATTTTATGACTTTTAGAACTAGAAGGGGCTTCTAAGATCACTTAATCTAATCCCATTGTTACACAAATGAGGAAATAGGCCCAAAGAATTTTAAGTAGCTTGTCCACAACTAATTAGTGGCAATCCAGTGCCCTGGAACAATCAGTCCATGAACATTATATCACCTTCCCCATGGAGTATAAACTCCTTTCAAAGAAGCAATGTGATAAAAGCAAAGAAGGAAAAATCAGATTTTTCTAATAACTGTGTTGGAACAAACTAGTTCACAAGGAACATAATTTCACTACTTGTAAAATTAAAAGAAACTGATTTTTTAGAATACTATATTTATTTTCATCTAATTTAAATAAACAACGTATCTTCTGAAAAAAACATACAATTTGACAAAAGAGACTTAAGGAAATTTTAAACTTACCCAATTATCATGTGCTTTTTTCTCATGGGAAATAATCTGAAAAAGAAAGTAATTAAAATGCTACTGACCATTATTTTTCTTAAGTAAAAAACATTCACATCTACCACTATGATGTAGTGCACAACTCAAAACTATCCCAAGCATCTCTGAAGAGTAGGCAACATTTTTAAAGCAAATTTTCATGTATACATAATCTATTATATTTTAAAACAAAAACTGAATGTAAAGACAATTAAATTTTTTGTTTGGTAAACTTTTACTTTATGTAATAATCAACAGGAATTGCCAGTTAACATATAACTAGCCTGACTGAGTATGAGACCCCACTGTTGATACACATTTATGTGATGCAATCTACCTTCCCAAAGCAGCAGGAGATACGGCAATTTTATTTATTTTATTTTTTTTTTTTTTTGAGACGGAGTCTCACTCTGTCACCCAGGCTGGAGTGCAAGTGACGTGATCTCAGCTCACTGCAACCTCTGCCTCCAGGGTTCAAGTGATTCTCCTGCCTTAGCCTCCCAAGTAGCTGAGATTACAGGCATGTGCCACCATACCCGGCTATTTTTGTATTTTTTTTTTTTTTTTTTTTTTTTTTAGTAGAGACAGGGTTTTGCCATGTTATCCAGGCTGGTCTCGAACTCCTGACCTCAAGTGATCCACCCACTTCGGCTTCCCAAAGTGCTGGGATTACTGGTGTGAGCCACTGCACCCAGCCAATACAGCAATTTTAAATAAGATTTCTTATCTCAGAATCTTTGGCTCCTGGGAAATGTCCCACAGCCACATGCAACACCTCAAAAGAGGTATACAACTGGTCAAGTAATTATATTCCTGCATCAATTCAAAGAAATCAGAATTGTTTTAAATTATATATATATACACACACACACACACACACACACACATATATATATACCTGCCCTTGATAAGAATGAATAGTTCTCTCCAATTCTTCTTCAAGATCTTTGGCTCGCTTTCTAAATGGAACGAATAATTATTCTACTATTAACATATAACATGAAATGACAGAACATACTCTCTACTAAAAAAATATTTATTAGAAAACCCAGAATGCTCTACTTCATGAAAAAAAAAAAAAAAAAAACTCCAGAACTCCACATTAAGAAATAATCACCTCTGACAGGTTCTACAGTATATTTTTTCCTAAACTAATTTTAACATTGATTACAACTTAATACTACTACTTGAGTTTACCTAAACCCAAAGTCACATAAATATTTACGTGGTATATTGTGTTGTTTTTTTTTTATTTTTAAGAAGAATGATCCTAGAAGATTTATTCAGATGTTGGTCATTTTTTTTTTTTTTAAACAGAGTGTCGCTCTTGTTGCCCAGTATGCAGTGCAGTGGCGTAATCTCGGCTCACTGCAACCTCCACCTCCAGGGTTCAAATGATTCTCCTGCACCAGTCTCCTGAGTAGCTGGGATTACAGGCACCTACCACCACGACCAACTAATTTTTTGTATTTTTAGTAGAGATGGGGTTTCATCATGTTGACCAGGCTGGGCTCGAATTCCTGACCTCAGATGATCCACCCACCTTGGCCTCCCAAAGTACAGGGATTATAGGCGTGAGCCACCATGCCCGGCCAGATGTGGGTAGTCTTAATAGAATTCTAGGAAATTAGCAACCACTGTGAAGTAAAATGTTACTTGGTACTTTTGTGAGATTAACAAGATAACTTATTTTGGATAAAAAGCAAGCTTGCTCTTTCTGAGGTAAAATGAAGTATCACAACTATTTGGGATACTGCTGAATCTTTTTTTCTCTATATTTTCTATTTCCTGGGATCTAGTAAGGATCAAACCAAGGTAAAATCTAGATTTATAGTCTTTTAAATACTTCCAAATGCTCTATGGCTCACTCTTCTTTTTGTGGCACACCTATTGATTCACTAATATTACATACATTCTTCTCAATTTGAACCAATGAGGAAGGACCTTAAAATTAATATCTATTCATATTGACACTAACATAAAATAGAATTGTCCATATTCAACTTTGAGAGATTTTAAAAATCACACAACCTGAAAGAAAAACATTTTTCCTCTTTATATTTTCTGTATAATTGCTCAAGACCAAGAAATCTGAATGAAAAGTGATGAGACAAAAATATATTATTTTTTTGTCTGTACCACCTGTCAGATTTTAAAATGTTTTCTATTTTCATTTGATTTATTATTTTTCTGGCATTAAGTTTTTTAGATACTCTTCCCATTCCAAAAAAGAAACCAGAAAAATGTATTTAATACCTATAGGTCTCCAGCTCTTCAGTGGCATGGCTGATCTTTTCATCTACTTTAGAAAGTTTCTCTTCTTTCTCTAACCGATAATTTTCCTCTACTGTTAATTTCCTTAAAAACAAAAAATGTTATAATTCTCTTAATACATGTCAAAAGATAATCAATTCTATATTTTTAATTGTGAAAAAACTGGTGATTCCTGTCAAATGATTTCTAAAATACCACTGAAAACATCACCTACAAGGAAAAAAAAAGTATCTGTGTAAATATTCCTGGTGTTGAATTTAATATTATAAACCGAAATTGTAAAGCATTGTGTCTAATACAGAACTACTAATAGTTTCAAGAGTTTTCTATATAAATTTATCTTAAAAATAGGATCAAAGATATATTTAATAAAAACTATTATGACTATCACTTATCAAGTCTTTCTGTATAAACAAGCATTACATTTGCTAGTAAGAAGTCACCAATTAATAAAATGTGTTTCGTTAATTTTTATATTGGTTAGTGATTAGGCTTCCAGGCAAGTAAACACACACGCACACACACACACACACACAATTATAATTACAATGAAACCAAAGTAAACAGTAGTAGTAGCAGTCCTATTTACTACATCTAATTCTATTAATAATAATAATAGATAACTTATTGAGCCATTAGTATGTGCCAAAAACTGTTCTCAGACTTCTACATGTATTATTTAATTACCACAACAGCTCTACAAGAAGGGTGGTACTGTTATCCCATCTTACAAAAACGACAATGAAGCACAGAGAAATAATTAAACCAAAGCCTAGAGCTCATAAGCAGTGACTCTTTTATGCTATAATACCCATGTTGTTTCATTTCACATACTATCATTAATATATCTTGGTCACCCAAGAAATATTTATTGAACACCACAGGAAAACACATTTGGAGTCCTAAATGGATATCTTCCCTTCTTCATGAACTTTGAGAAGAACAAGACAAACTACTGAAGAAGTCTTGCAGTATGGCAGTAAATATTTTGTATTCTACACACTACATTACCTATTGCTTAGAAAGCATTCCCTAAGGTCAATCACTTTCATGGATGTTATAAGAAAATAAGTCATCTCCTTAGGAAAAGCACGAAAGTGCGACGGGCATGGATATGGAAGAGAGATGTGTTTTTACAGACTGTGTAGACTGAAGATAGCCAGAAATTCTTTGACACCTCTCCTGATAAAAGGTGAGGTTTATGTACCTTCCCATTGAATTTGGGTGGGCCTATTAATAATAGAAATTACACTGTGAAAGGAGACCTGATGATATGACTTAAAAATATCATATCTTGGTCGGGTGCAGTGGCTCATGCCTATAATCCCAGCACTTTGGGAGGCAGAGGTGGGCAGATCATGAGGTCAGGAGTTCGAGACCAGCCTGGCTAACATGGTGAAACCCCATCTCCACTAAAAATACAAAAATTAGGCAGGCATGGTGGCGCGCACCTGTAATCCCAGCTACTCGGGAGTCTGAGGCAGGAGAATTGCTTGAACCCAGGAGGCAGAGGTTGCAGTGAGCCGAGATCGTGCCACTGCACCCCAGCCTGGGCGACAGAGCTAGACTCTATCTCAAAAAAAAAAACACACACACACAAAAACCATCATATATATTTAAAGTAACACATCAAGGGCCAGGCACAGTGGCTCATGCCTATAATCCCCACACTTTGAAAGGCCAAGGTGGGCAGATCACTAGAGGTCAGGAGTTTGAGACCAGCCTGGCCAACAAGGTGAAACCCCACCTCTACTAAAAATACAAAAAAAAATAAATAAATAAGCCAGGAGTGGTGGCGCACGCCTGTAGTCCCAGCTACTCGGGAGGCTGAGGAAGGAGAATGGCGTGAACCCGGGAGGCGGAGCTTGTGGTAAGCCAAGATCACACCATTGTACTCCAGCCTGGGCATCGCAGCAAGACTTCATCTCACCAAAAAAAAAAAAAAAAAAAAAAAAAAGCAACACATCAAGCTTCTAGGTCCTACCATTTCATTTGTTTCCATTATTAAATTTGGGAAAATGGTATATCAGTCATGAAAAACATCAAGCCAACATCCAGACTGAACTTAAATTATACTATATGCAGCAAGAATATAAATTTAACACTTCACTGGTACTATCAACTCAATATTCTACTCTGAAGAAGTGCCAATGGCATAATTCATTGAATTTCAGTAATATAAACTACTTGCTAGTTAAATATAAGAAGGAAATGTAAAATATTTTAGGAATTTAAAATAATTTTAAACTAATGAATGAAATCCTGTGAACAACACACACAACTAGGGTACTACTCAGTTTCCTATCCTTCCTTTAAAAATCTAAAGAAAATACCTTTTCTTTGAAATGTTAAACATTACTCATCAAAATTCTATAATCAACCATATACTTTTTTTATTCAAAAGATACACTCAAAAATATTTCTTTCACCTCAATCACTTTTATATCCAAGTTTTACTTTAATACCTTTCATTCTAACCTAAAAAGAAGGGCCCACTCCTAGGTATACTGGCTGAAAAACCCTGAAGTTATACTGTAATTCTTCCATTTTGTCACGTTTAGTCTCTTGCATACCCTGAGCAGTCCCAAAGGGCCAAAGGGCCATAACAAATAACAGCTTTTTAACTGTGAACTGAATCCAAATCATGACTGAAGTACAGAACTTGGCAGTGAATGAGCCAAGCACTACCCAGCATCCTGATCTCAAAGAAGCATTAGTACTCTCTACCAGTTTCCAAATAGATAAAGTAGATTCTCATTATTTGTGCTAGTTTTGTTCCATAAAGTCACTATACATCGTAAATTAGCAAATACTAGATCACTGCTCCTAAGGGTAATACAGGGTTAGCTTCCTGCTACAGCCTCTGGTCACAACAATTTTATCAACCAATCAATATATAACCTTGTTTTTTTGTGTGCTTCTGTTTAAAGATACTTTCTTTAATATATATTGTTAATTTATTGACATTGAACTCACAGCCAAAAGCACTGTAATTCATGCCTAAACAAAGTTTATCTAACACATGTATTTTCTCCATAACACATATCACAGCATTCTTGTGCTTAAAAACACTACATAGCAGTTCAGCACTATGCTTAGGGGGCATTTTAAACAGCTAAATCACCAGCAAAAAGCATAAAAATGTAAAAAATGAGGCACTAAATATACTGTAAAAAGGACACCTGTTTACAGAATGAGAGCTGAAACAAGAAAGCAGAGTGTCACCTTGTTTGACCTCAGCTGGGAACATGCACATTGGGCAACTCAAATTTTTCATCATTCTGAATATGTCCATGAATGGCTACAAAAGCTTTGCATGTACTGATCTGATTTACAAATAAATTTTAGCTAGTAAGTCAATTCACAAATACAGATTCTATAAATAATAAGGAACAACTGTAATAACTATCATTAAGAGCCTAAAGGAACCTGAAAGTCTGTTACATTTTATTACCCTTTATGATAAAAAAAAAAAAAAATACATGCCATGGCACTATTTGAAAATCTAGAGTCTTCAGATATCTCAAGGGTCTTCAGTGTACTTAGGCATTTAGGCAACAGCATGTACACACACACACTCCTTCACTCCAATATATAAAGGCACTGAACATATTTGTACATATATTCAACAAACATGTACTGAACAGTTACCACACGTCTCATGTAGCTTTAGGCACTGGGAATACAGAAGTGAAGAAAATAATTTTCTCTCAGAGCTTGTATTTAACATAAGGAAGATAAAAGAAAGAAAAGCAATCAATCAGAGGACAATAAGAGCCATGAGGCAAAATAAGGGAATAAAGAGTAGCAGGTATTATTTTAGTTAGAGTAGCCAGGGAAGGATTCTTTGAGGTAACATTTGAACCCAGGCCTAATAAAATGAAGAACTGAGCCATTCAAATATATAAGGAAACATCATTCCAGGCAGAAGGAACAAGCACAAAAGACCCTAAGGTCAATGTGCTGAAGAGCATCAAAAAGGCCAGTGCTGGATGGAGGGTACTGAGAGGAAAAAGAACATGAATAAGCTAAAATTAAAGAGGTGGCCAAGGGTCCAATCCTGTACTGTCTTGTAGGCCAAGATATAAAAGCTGTGGGTTGAGTGTGATATAAAGGCACTCAGGGATTTTGAGCACGAGAGTGACCATACTCACAATTCACATTTTAAGGGTCATCCTGCATGTTGCAGAGAAAACACAGTGCAGGAGAAAGGGCGGAAAGAAGGAGACTACCCATAAGGCTACTATAATAAGCCGGGTATTAACTGTTGATGACTTGGACTAGACTAATATGGAAGATGGTAAAAAGTGGTCAGATTCAGGCTATAAAAAAGCTGACAGGATTTAATGACAGAATAAATAGGAGATATAAAAGCAAGAGAGAAGTCAAAAACAGCTTGAGGTGCCACCCTAAGTAACTAAGTAAAGGACACTGCCATTTACTAAGCCAAGGAACACCTGGGCAGAAGCAATTTGCACAGAACAGAAAAATCAGTTTTACATATATCAGAGATGGAATTAATGGGCAGTTTAATCAAGAGTGTCCATTCAGATTCCCTGCCAGTATTAGGAAGTTTAAGGCAATAAGTTGCTGACTACTTACTAGGAGCTAAAGAGGATTCTGTTAACTAGCTTGGAAATTCCAACATCACTTACAATATTTTCTTTGTTGAAAAAAAGTGTCTCCAGATCAAATACCTTTCTTAAAAATAAGTTGATGAAATACAATCTAATCATAAATT